>NC_000006.12:19605454-19756969 GCF_000001405.40 Homo sapiens | reverse complement strand
GCCTCTGCCTCCCAGGTTCAAGCGATTCTCCTGCCTCAGCCTCCCGAGTAACTGGGATTACAGGCACCCACCACCACGCCTGGCTAATTTTTGTATTTTTAGTAGAGACGGGGTTTCACCATGTTGCCCAGGCTGGTCTCGATACCTGACCTCAGGTGATCCGGCCCTCCTCAGCCTCCCAAAGTGCCGGGATTACAGGCATGAGCCACTGTGCCCAGCCAATTTGACTGTATTCTTATAGCGAGGCTAACTTTTATCTATCAGTATTTAATTCTTCTTTAATGGTGCCTGCAAAGAAAAAGAAAAATAGAACTGAGGCAAAAAGGCTATATGGTACAAATATATGAGGATAGAGTGGATTTGGTCTAAATGATCCAGAGCATCGTCTCAATCCTCAGTCTTCTTTTCTTCTGAACATGTTTGAGTCTAGTGGAGAAAAGCTATTTTCCTAATAAGAAACTAGAATTGAGATTAAGCTAATCCTACTTTTGAACTTGCAGTGTGAAAATCATGGTTCCTTGGGAAGAAAGTCTTTGTTAAAATTCAAATTCTATTTGAGACATGCATATTTCACAGTTCCAGGTGGAATACTATCCATGTTTATGTGGCCATCTCACATGCAATATGCAAGTAAACTTTCTTAAGTAACTGGATAAAGGTGGCCTGCAAATGTTTGTGAGTGAAGCACTTCTAATTCTGTAAATTGTACTAATGGATATGTGAAAAACCTAATGGGTTAGAGTTAGGAGGCCAACTGATTTGCAATTATACATGCATTACTCTCAATGTGAAAGTAATCAAGAGTGCTGAGTATACTTGGGTCTTAATGCTGTGATTCTCACTGATGACGCTGTGAACCAGATAAAAGCATGGTATTGAGAGAGGCATGACAAGAGACTAAAACATAGAAACATTGTTGCTTTTTAATATAAATAGTTCTGTTCACAGGTCGTTGTCTTCACAAAGCATTACTCAAATCAACTTAATAATAGTTTTAGTAGAATTCTAGTCATTCAGCTTTAACATCAAGGATATTTGTCTCAAATGGAGTGTCTTGAGTTGAAATTAAGGTAAGTTTTAAAAACCAGAGACTTTTCTGAGTTAGCTATCATGGTTTTTAAAGTCAATGTCTAAAAGGTGGTCATTGCACATTATATTCCAGGTTGGCTGAACTAAATGTGGTACCCAAGGGAAGCATCACCTCTCTGTTCTGTACCATGCTAATCATGCTGCAACATGATGTGCTGAACGTTTTTAACGTTCTCTTTTGAGTGTTTTTGCCTTCTTTTCCATTTACACACAGGTAGAAATTGTCTAAATCTTTCCCATTTTGTTATTCATTATATTTTATTAAGTCTACTGGAAATAAATATATGCCGTTATTATCCCAACAAGAAGAAAATCCTGTTCCACATCTTGACAGTTGCTTCAATATCTAATGCAGAAGGAGATGGAAGCTGAGCAAACGCTTAACCTCATGTTCTGAGCAATGTGTATATGTGTATAATCTGATCCTTGTTTCACAACCAAACATAAAAATAAATCACCTTTAAGAAAGAAAAAAATGACATATTGTGGTCAGTGCTAGGAATATGGAACTTCATCTGTTTCCACTGATTGCATTGTTTAAGCTGTCTGTAAGAAATCTCTGCCCCCAGGAAATCCTCAAAGCATAGAGGAAATTGTACTAGAAAAATCCATTACATTGACCCCTGCTGGGGGGTTGACTCAAGTGGCAAAAAATGATGGTAAAATATTAAGTGTCTTAATATTATGCTCCATACAGTCACTGCCTCTTATTAGATAACAAGGCAAATTTTCAAATACATCGCTCTGAATTTCTAGAAGCCTGTTTAGGATGGACACAAGGTTGAAGACAAACCCAGTGTGTGCAATCAAGGAGGATGGAAACATAAGAAGGAAATGAATGAATGACCTGGACTGAGAGCTCTTTGTAGTCAGGAAAGAGAAGCATTACGAGAGTTGACTACATGCTAGCTACTGTGTCAAACTCTTTGCATTCATTTCATAGAATCTTCACTTTAACCAGGGCGCCAAGGCAAGGAGAGGCTAAACAACTTGCCTGAGGTCACATAGCTGGTAAGAAATAGAGTTGCCCAATCTGCTGAGTCTGTTACTGTGACCAAACAGGCTATCCATAGTTTTGTGATGGCATTTATTTAACTGATTTTATGCAATACCTAAGAGTAACCACAACAGGCAGACAAATGTTTAGGTAATATTCTCTGATAGCAACAAAAAAGTCAATGAAGTTTTCTACTTATTATATCTGCTGAAATGTGGGCATTGAGTATCAAGGTTTACCTGCCAAAGATGTCACTAAGCATGTAATAGGAAAACTTCCGCAGTTCAGCAAAGCAGCAAGTGAAAATGGTCAAATTAGTAAAAGTGGTTCATTTCAGATGTATTATGCTGGAAAGTCAAAAGTGCCAGAATATCCTTAATGGACTCCACCAGTTTGAATATTTCAATAACATCTGCAGGTCACTATTGTATTTCAAATTTTATTTATTTTCAAGTAGTTCATGCTATAGCAATCAAAATACCCTTATTAATTCCAGGTTAGTTTACCACTAATTTGCATTATTTTTCCTTATTCTATTTGATTTTTCCTAATTAAGAATACTAATAGTTTATAGGTAGCTTTTCATATTTACTCCATTGCGTCGTTTAATATGATGTTATAGTTTCAGCTAGATCCTCGTCTATGTCTACCAGGTAAAACAAACAAAATCAAAAGAGGAAAAATATGCCTGGCTATGTGATTATTTTCATTAGCAGTGAATCTGTCTGTTTCTGTGTGATTGAGATGCAATCCGTCCCTGCTGCACCTCTCATTTACTCCCAGGAAACAGTCCCAGTTGTCTAAAAAGTCAACACCTTCTGACAGGCACCATCTGGCCAGCCGTTCATTAACTCCCCAATGCTGCTCATGAATTTGCCTCTCTACGCGTGACCAGTGACACCGTTGAGAGCTAATGTGGCTTAAAGGAATATTGTTTCCCTGTTTGGATCACCCAGGCATCACCCAGCATGAGTCCTATGGGCAACATCCTACCTGGGATGTAAGTTTGTTATAAGATTAAATGTAATACTTGATAACATTTTGGAAATTTGAAGCTGAGGGCTGTAAAGAGCAAAAAAATAAATAGGTCATAAATTTTGAAAGTTTTTTTGTTTGGTTTGAAGATAGAAGACACTTCAGAAAATTCTTTTGTGGGAGTAAATTTTTTGAGGAGTGACTAACAAGGGAGTGATGAGATAGATTCATTTATTGTGTTGCATCTGAAAATCCTTCTGCTTTCTTGCTATATGATTTACCTTTATTTTCCAGTTTCTTTTGCTTTTAATCCTATACTCAGAGGTCACATAGTCTAGCAGGAGAGATAATGTGAAGATAATGCAAGAGTTTGAGGAAAATCTTCTGCTATTTTTCTTTATGTAACCCTAGTCTACCACTTCTGAATATTTCTTAATTTTGGTTTTATCATTTGACAATGTAAAAATGCCTCAAACCTGCTCTACCAGTTACACCTGGTTTCTAAAAGGCGCCATTTCTAGGCATATCAAATAAGGTAATGAATGTGAAAAAAGCTTTGTAAAACATAGCTGCTGGCTCACTGGGTATCTGTTTTGGCTTATACAATATCACAGATGTAGAGATTCCAAAATAAAAGGTACTAAACTCGCTCTCAAGGAGCTTACAATCCAGCGGAGAGATGGACACAAAAGCAAACAAACAAATCATGTGATGCAACATTAGGATTCCTAAAATCAAGGTCTAAAGAGCAGAGATAATGCTGGAGGAGCCCTACAAAGGAGGCTGGGACATTTTGGGCAGAGGAAATGTGGAAAAAAGAGAGAGGTGAGAGACAGTATGGTACTTTTGAAACCCTTAAGTAGTCAAAACGGGATAAAAATGTTGGTAGAAGAAATGGTGAGACCTGACACATAAGAAGCATCTGGTTTGCGAACAGCTTTGTTTGCTGTGTAAAGCTGTTGAATTGTACCCTGTGGGCAATGGGAGGGTGTTGCAGAGTTTTGAACAGAATGAGATGATTGGAAATGCCTTGAAAGAAGGGAAGGTTGAAGGAATGATGAGAGGGGCCTAAGCCCAGGTGTCAGAGGCACAGTAAGGAGTCATTAGCAGTAGTACCTGTGAGAGATGAGGAACTAGAATAGTGACAGGGAAGGTCAAGAGGAGAGGAAGCATCAGAGAAATTGAGTGTGGAATAGCAAGGCTTGTGGGCTGCAGAATTAAATTAATCCAAAGATCCTTTATCAGATAAATGTTCCATTTTCTCTGAGGCCTGAGTTTTTCAGGTCCATTTTTTTTTCTTCCTTCTAGTATTCTTAGAGGGGAGATTTTCTTACTTGTTCTGTAAAAGTTATTTGACCCATGTGTGCATCTTGGAAAGATTCTTTTGACATTCTCTGATGCCAAGAACTTTGCCAATAACATTTCTAGAGTAATTTCTTTTCCAAACTCTGAGCTCTATGACAGCAGGAATCAGACCTGTCCTGCCCCCTGGTATATTCCCAGCACAGTATCTGCAATATAATAGATCCTTAATAACTATTTGTTGAATGCCTTGATGATAAACTCTGCAGTACTTTGCAAACAAGATGCCCTGAGAAGTCAGAAGAATAGATATGTCTTTATAATAAAGTTTAAAAGTTGCCTCATTGTAAGCAGGCTTAATAACGGTAATATTAATAATAACAAAACATTTGTTCAATCCTTTGATAATTTTCACACACTATGATAAATGTACTTTGTGTTCTTCATCTAATTTAACCCTTACAGCAACCCTTTGTGGGCACTGCTTTATTTCAATTTTGTAGATGGGGAAAATGAACCTTAGGGGTTACTCATGAAGTGGGTGGCAAAGCCATAGTTTTAATCCTGAGTTTCTTAGGGGCAAAACTCCAGACTTTAAACCACTATGCCTAATTTAATGACCTCTTAAACAATGTGAATTCTGTCAAAAAATGACAATTAAAATAGGTTTCATCCATTCTGTTTTCCCTACTCTTCGATGTCTTTCATCCCGGGATTGTTCTGTGTTGTTTCTTAATACATATGCTTACATTTTATAGGCACAGATGCTATCTTCCCTCCCCTTTTCTGATTTCTCCTCTCCTCCCACTCTAAATAATGACATACAGTCATGGTGTGGACATTAATGTGAACCGTGGTTAGATTATGGCTCTACATCCAGTGGAGTGCTGGTCTTACGCATTTCCTCACTCCAGTCTGTATCTCGGGTGGAGTCTGAGGCTCCATATCCACTTCCTACTCCATCTCTCTAGCTCCACACCTGGAATGGCACCTCCACCATTCCTACAGCTTGGTGGCCAAATGTGTGAGTGTGAGTAGCATTTATGGGTAAGTCAATTTGCAATAGGTACTAGTAGTGAGAGCAACAGGCATGTAAGAGAGGCTCATGGATGGTAGAGTTTGGATATTATTTATCTTCCCTACTGGGTCACCTAGTCCACTGCCTGGCACCCTGAGGCACTTGATAAACATTTGCTGATTGAATTAAGTATGTATGTATGTGAGCCATCTGACACAAAAACCCACTGTCTCCTTTATTTTCTGTGCAATGGACTGAGCTCTATTTTTTAAATACGTATTTTTAACACAGTATTGAGTATCAGTACATTCAACACAGACTCAAAAGAATCTTTTCCTTTATCCTTTTGTGATTTTTCTCCTTTCTTGTGAATGTATTCATAGCTGGGTACGATTACAAGAAAAACGATTACCTATAGTAGTGTGGATATGAATGTTTGCTTGCCTTTTTGGTCTCAGATGAAGAGCTGTACATATCATCACAAACTATCTTTTTCCTTAAGTATGTCTCTCTTTTAAAGGCTAATATTGCAATATATATTACTTTAATTGCAGATTTTGTAATATGCTCCATGTTTTACAAATACTGTGGCTAGTCTTAAAGAAAAACTTTGTACAATAACTTGCACTCTGAATTCAAGAGTTTCTCTTATTTGTGATATCAATTCCCTTTGTGCCTTGGACTTTTTTTTTTTTTTTTTTTTCCATTTCACCTCCATTGAAAACATCTGCTAAGGACTTATTTAAACAGCTAGTTAATGCTTTATAAAGCTCAGAGGCGCGCCCATCTGTTCCAGGAGCATTCTCTTTTCTCAAGAGCTATATCATATTTTCTACCTGTCTGACAGCTGGTTTTGCCTCAAAACTCTTAATTTCTCTTTATATCAGTAGCATGACACCTTACTTTAAAGTTTATAACTGATTTTTCTTCATCTTGCTTCACTCTGAGCAAACCTAAAAGCAAGGGAGTTATTTCCTTCCTTTTTTCTTAGTCTTACTTATATCTTCCAATTTTGTTTTTGTTTTTAGAGCCAGAATGCCTTTCCTTTGAATCTGCATAATCAAACAGAAGTCAGGATGTAGTTCTGATGGATTTCATCTCCAGCATTGTGGTCCT
This sequence comes from Homo sapiens, assembly GCF_000001405.40. Classification (NCBI taxonomy): domain Eukaryota; kingdom Metazoa; phylum Chordata; class Mammalia; order Primates; family Hominidae; genus Homo; species Homo sapiens. Next base: position 19,750,472 of record NC_000006.12, on the reverse strand, counting down.
TGGGCCCCTCCGCATTCCACCCTGGTGTACAGGACCCAATGGCAAGCCGCTTTAGCTCCTATCTGGTCCATGGGGATAGGTTACATACCCTTTGCTAGAGAGTGAAGATGAATCCCAATGTCATTTGGATCCTGCTTTCATGGGATGATTCAGCTTTCTCAGGCTGAGTCAGGAACCAGTCCTCTGTATCCTCCAACTGCCCATTTCTAGATCTTCAAATGGTCCAGTCTAGGCTCGAGGTGACAGAGGATGCTCTCTCTTCCACCCCACCCCTTTCTGAATGGGCAGACTCAAGGCATAGCAACTGTCGTCTGCAGAAGAATCTTTTTACTATTGCTTCTTGTCTCCTCTATGTCCATTCTTTTGTATTTTCAAAGTAAGTGAGAGGCTTCAGGAGTTACGGAACAAACCCTTTTGTAACTCTGCATTTAAGGATCTGTTTCATATTTTTTATGATATCTGTTAATATATTGGCACCTTAATCGAGAGCAAGATACGATGAGGCCTAATTTAACATCCGGTTACACTTTCCTCATTGCGTAATGTGGCTATATCGACAGCAATTCAGATGTAGTAATTTGTGTTTTACCCTTATTATAGTAAATCAGATGGCATCTTGCAGCTATTTACTCTTTACATACATGAAGATTAACTCACCCCAGGGGTTATTTTTTTCCGATGTAAGAATCTTAATTTCCTTAACTTTTCCCACAGGTGTCACATGCCATTCTTCTGATTTTCATGAATATCCTCTAAAAGGCAGCTAAGCACTCGCTGTCTTCTTCCTTTTGCCTCATCAAGCACGGGGGACGCTGGAAGGAAGAGGTACCTCATACATTTTACACTGACTTAAATCTTAGAGAAGTTTATCTTGCGTTGAAACTGGGGATTTGAAAAGAGGCTTGCTTACCTGACTTAGGTTTGTCTGAAAACGCTAGTTATGTCCCTTGTGTCTCAAAAACCAACCAACGTTTTCCAGTTGGTCCTACCGAAGAAAATACTGTCTGTTCCAGTGAGTCAAATACAAGACCATCTGTGCCAGTCCGTTAAAAAAAAAATAATCCAATTGCTGTTAATAGATGACCGTTTCGAAGGGCAAGTCCAAAGGATAAAAAAAAAGGTGTGTAGTTATTTTGTATTGATGTAGGCATGGCTATTTTTGTTTATCACAAGGAGGAAAAGACTACTCCCTGTACCATTCTGTATGTATGTATGTACACAGTGGAAGCCATATTTCTCATACATCAGTGTGCCAAGAAAGCTAGTCAACAAGCAAGGGCTAAGAACAGAACTGGGAGGTTATCCTGACACTCTCCCTATACTTGGGAGATTCTTGTTGAGTGGATTGGGAATTTTAAAGTTGTTCCTGCTTCTGCTGATCCATGCAATTTTAGGCAGGTGTTTCTCTGTGGTCCAGGTATTTCAGCTGTGAAGTGAGTGGTAACAACAGGATTATTGGATAGTTTGTTAATGAAATGGAGTCATTGCTAAGCAAGATATATGCAGGAAATACCTGCAAGTAAGCTTAAAAGCTGGAAGTGAAGCAAGTCTGTTTTTTTTCTTTAAGGGGAGGTCATAAATGGCCGTCTTCAGGGAGTGTTGTCAAGAAGGGGCTGCAAGCCATCTGAAGCTCTAGGGCATCTGCAAAGTTTTTCTCTCCCTTTCACAAATTCCTTTGAAGAAGCTTTGTGGCAGTGCCAAGGGCATTTACTTTCCTGCAGAGCAGATGGGGGAAGACAAGAGCAGAATGAACTTTCTCATGTTTTCCAGTGAGAGTCAAGTATTTCCATCCTCTTCCTTGCACTTGAAGTCATCATTTCTCATAAAAGATTTTTATAATACCAAAGGCGAGGCACAAAACCAATAATCCTGGTGCATCAAGAATATGTATTACATGACTACTCCCCTAACTATGAGAATCATTAAGGCTTTTCCGATGAGATAATGTGGATAGTCTCCTGTCAGTGTAACGACTTTGCCGCATCTTCTTTATCTAGCCACATCCCCAGTTTCAGAGTTTAGGGAAACCCACCTTCTATTCTCAGCTCCACTATCCAGAGTGATCACCTGGATAGGTGATCACTTCTAACACCTTCTTACATTCTAACATGGACCATACTCTCATCATCAATTACTTGGCACTCAATCCTGTGCCGGTTTGTGTTAGGTTTGCTAGTTTTCTTACCATTTTACATTGTATTGAATATGCACTGTACCTTTATGACACTTCTATAGAGATTTATTCTTCTGGTTAAACTGAAGGTCTGTTATCTATGGTGATTTAGTCCTGTACTTGACTCTAAACCTTGGACCAGTCACACATACCATTGAGGTTCTTGAGTTGTTTCTGTAGCATCCCCTGACAATCATTATCATTTATATTAAAAAGCAAAACATGATTGCTGAAAAGGAGGACCTGGTATGCACCAAGCATACCAGTGCTGAAGACGCACTTACTGGAACCCTATTTGAACATGGGTCATGAATGGACTGCAATATGGCACCTTGATAGCCATGGTTTGATGACTTGACATAACTGCAAACAGCAACATTAAAAAGGACACCTGGAGTACACCTTAAAATAACAAAATATAAAACTGTTGAATGTTCAAAATGAACAAAGACATTCTTGTTGTGAAATATCCAATTAGAAACCGTGAAGATATGTCTAAAAACTAGGTCAGTGGGGCATGGTGTCTCATGCTTGTAATCTCAGCACTTTAAGAGGGTGAGGTGGGAGGATTGCATGAAGTCAAGAGTTGGAGACCAGCCTGGGCAACAGTGAGACCCAATCTCTACAAAAATAAAAATAAAAATATATTAACTGAGCATGGTGGCATGCACTTGTAGTCTCAGCTACTTGGGAGGCTAAAGGAGGAGGATCAGTTGAGCCCAGGAATTCAAGGTTTCAATAAGCTATGATCACCCCACTGCACTCCAGCCTGGGTGACAGAGTGAGACCCTGTCTTTAAAAAAATAAAAGAGATCCAAAAAAATTCCAGAATAAACCACTTCCACTTGTTCAAATTGAAACAAATTTATTTGTGCACAATGTGTAAATAAAAGCCAGTTATACATTATCACTTAATACCACATATATATGCAAAGTCATTAGTATAATAAAAAAATTGTGTGCTTATATAACACCTATTATCCATTGTCCTCTGAGGATAAGTCATTAGTGTAATAAAAAAAATTGTGTGCTTATATAGCACCTATTATCCATTGTCTGAGGATTAAAAAAGTCTGTTTTGGCCTCTATCCTTCTCAATTTGACATTTGGTTCACTTAAATATCTTCATAAGAGATTTTTATAATATCGAAAACAAGGCAGAAAATGAATATTCATTATGTATCAAGATGGTGTTAGGCACTATGCTATATAATTTCAATTTTCACGTTATCGTCACAACAGTGGTCTGAGATTAGATATAGTTACCTCCATTTACTTTCAGAAGAGAAAAGCAAAGCTCTGTGGGGTTAAATAAATTGTCTATGGCTAGCTACCCTTGGGGAATACTGGAACCAGGGTGCAATACCAGGTGTGTAAACCCCAAGATCCATTAAATCCCATTACACCAACAAAAACACGTTGAGGAAATCACAAGTTCTCAGGATGCCATACTTAATAAAGACATTTTTTTGGCCGGGCGCGGTGGCTCACATCTGTAATCCCAGCTCTTTGGGAGGCCAAGGCAGGCAGTGGATCACCTGAGGTCAGGAGTTTGAAGCCAGCCTGGCCAACATGGTAAAACCCCGTCTCTACCAAACATACAAAAGTTAACTGGACGTGGTGGCACATGCCTGTAATTCCAGCTACTAGGGAGGCTGAGGCTGGAGAATCCCTCAAACCTGAGAGGCAGAGGTTGCAGTGAGCCAAGATTGAGCCACTGCACTCCACCCTGGGCGATAGAGCAAGACCCTATCTCAAAAAAAAAAAAAAGAGGCTTTTTTTTTTTTTTAAAATACTTTAAGTTCTAGGGTACATGTGCACAACGTGCAGGTTTGTTACATAGGTATACATGTGCCATGTTGATTTGCTGCACCCATTAACTCATCATTTACATTAGGTATTTCTCTTAATGCTATCCCTCCCCACTCCCCCCACCCCATGACAGGCCCTGGTGTGTGATGTTCCCTACCCGGTGTCCAAGTGTTCTCATTGTTCAATTCCCACCTATGTGTGAGAACATGCGGTGTTTGGTTTTCTGTCCTTGTGATAGTTTGCTCAGACTGATGATTTCCAGCTTCATCCATGTCCCTACGAAGGACATGAACTCATCCTTTTTTATGGCTGCATAGTATTCCATGGTGTATATGTGCCACATTTTCTTAATCCAGTCTATCATTGATGGACATTTGGGTTGGTTCCAAGTCTTTGCTATTGTGAATAGTGCTGCAATAAACATACATGTTCATGTGTTTGTATAGTAGCATGACTTACAATCCTATGGGTATGTACCCAGTAATGGGATGGCTGGGTCAAATGGTATTTGTAGTTCTAGATCCTTGAGGAATCGCCACACTGTCTTCCACAATGGTTGAACTAGTTTACACTGCCACCAACAGTGTAAAAGCATTCCTATTTGTCCACATCCTCTCCAGTATCTGTTGTTTCCTGACTTTTTAATGTTCACCATTCTAACTGGTGTGAGATGGTATCTCATTGTGGTTTTGATTTGCATTTCTCTGATGACCAGTGATGATGAGCACTTTTCCATGTGTCTGTTGGCTGCATAAATGTCTTCTTTTCAGAAGTGTCTGTTCATATCCTTTGCCCACTTTTTGATGGGGTTGTTTTTTTCTTGTAAATTTGTTTAAGTTCTTTGTGGATTCTGGATATTAGCCCTTTGTCAGACGGGTAGATTGCAAAAATTTTCTCCCATTGTGTAGGTTGCCTGTTCACTCTGATGGTAGTTTCTTTTGCTGTGCAGAAGCTCTTTAGTTTAATTAGATCCCATTTGTCTATTTTGGCTTTTGTTGCCATTGCTTTTGGTGTTTTTGTTATGAAGTCTTTGCCCATGCCTATGTCCTGAATGGTATTGCCTAGGTTTTCTTCTAGGGTTTTTATGGTTTTAGGTCTAACATTTAAGTCTTTAATCCATATCGAATTAATTTTTGTATAAGGTGTAAGGAAGGGATCCAGTTTCAGCTTTCTACATATGGCTAGCCAGTTTCCCCAGCACCATTTATTAAATAGGGAATCCTTTCCCCATTGCTTGTTTTTGTCAGGTTTGTCAAAGATCAGATGGTTGTAGATGTGTGGTGTTATTTCTGAGGCCTCTGTTCTGTTCCATTGGTCTATCTCTCTGTTTTGGTACCAGTACCATGCTGTTTTGGTTACTGTAGCCTTGTAGTATAGTTTGAAGTCAGGTATTGTGATGCCTCCAGCTTTGTTCTTTTGGCTTAGGATTGTCTTGGCAATGCAGGCTCTTTTTTGGTTCCATATGAACTTTAAAGTAGTTTTTTCCATTTCTGTGAAGAAAGTCATTGGTAGCTTGATGGGGATGGCATTGAATCTATAAATTACCTTGGGCAGTATGGCCATTTTCATGATATTGATTCTTTTTATCCATGAGCATGGAATGTTCTTCTGTTTGTTTGTGTCCTCTTTTATTTCATTGAGCAGTGGTTTGTAGTTCTCCTTGAAGAGGTCCTTCACATCCCTTGTAAGTTGGATTCCTAGGTATTTTATTCTCTTTGAAGCAATTGTGAATGGGAGTTCACTCATGATTTGGCTGTCTGTTATTGGTGTATAGGAATGCTTGTGATTTTTGCACATTGATTTTGTATCCTGAGACTTTGCTAAAGTTGCTTATCAGCTTAAGGAGATTTTGGACTAAGACAATGGGGTTTTCTAAATATACAATCATGTCATCTGCAAACAGGGATAATTTGACTTCCTCTTTTCCTAATTGAATACCCTTTATTTCTTTCTCTTGCCTGATTGCCCTGGCCAGAACTTCCAATACTATGTTGAATAGGAGTGGTGAGAGAAGGCATCCCTGTCTTGTGCCAGTTTTTAAAGGGAATGCTTCCAGTTTTTGCCCATTCAGTATGATATTGGCTGTGGGTTTGTCATAAATAGCTCTTATTATTTTGAGATATGTTCCATCAATACCTAATTTATTGAGAGTTTTTAGCATGAAGGGTTGTTGAATTTTGTCAAAGGCCTAAAAAAGGCATTTTTAATGTGCAACATGTTCTTTAATAGAAACAGTAACCTTCAGTTAAATAAAGAAATTGATGTGCCAATAACAGATTAATTTTTCATGCCCATATTGACACTGTTCTGATATTTCATACCCTGCCTACCCACTTTTCTTTGCCCTGCCCAGGCTCCAGGGACCTACCTGACTTCCTATTCATGCTGATCCCACTGAGACCCTTATCAACCCTGACCTGTTCCCCATGTGCCTCTTGGATCTGCCTTATGTTCCAGGTATAGTTCTTTTTTTTTTTTTTTTTGAGATGGAGCCTCGCACTGTCACCTGGGCTGGAGTGCAATGGTGCAATCTCGGCTCACAGCAACCTCCGCCTCCCGGGTTCAAGCGATTATCCTGCCTCAGCCTCCTGAGTAGCTGGGATTACAAGTGCACACCACCATACCTGGCTAATTTTTTTGTATTTTTAATAGAGACAGGGTTTCACTATGTTGGCCAGACTGGTCTCGAACTTCTGACCTCGTGTGCCCGCCTCGGCCTCCCAAAGTGCTGGGATTACATATGTGAGCCACCGCGCCTGGCCTTAAGGTATGGTTCTTTAACACAGAATAGATGCATTCTCTGTAGCTAGGCATGGTGGCCAGCGCCTGTAGTCCCAGCTATTCAAGAGGCTGAAACATGAGAATCCCTTGAACCCAGGAGGTGGAGGTTGTGGTGAGCGGAGATCGCGCCACTGCACTCCAACCTGGGTGACAGCAAGACTCCATCTCAAAAATAAAAGATTTATTCTCTGAAGAAACTGAACAGGAGAGGAGGTTACAGACTCAGAGAAACCAGGCGCCACTGTAGGTGAGGGTGAGGCAGTTGTGTTGAAAATGGACTTGAATGAAAGCCTGCATAATGATGAGTAGGAAACAAGGCACAGGGCGCAGTACTCAGATCGACTCTGTGCTTGACTTAATGCTCTCCTCTGCCATCTTGAAATTCTGAATAATTTTATCTTTGAACTTGTGTTTTATAAGTGAAGTTTGATGGGATGACGAAGCATGAATGTGAGCAGAGGAGATATGCATAATACATGTGTCCACTGTTCCTTGCTGCCCTATTTAAATATAGTGTTTCTGATGTCCCATGAGCACAGAACTTCAGTGGACCCAGGATGTATGGTAGGTTAGCAAGCCTCAAAGTGAGTGCAAAGCAAGATGTTGAGTCTGTGAGTGAGTATGCTGCTGCTGACAGGCCTGAGAAGCCACACTGCCTGTTCCAATAACGATTTTCAAAGGCAGGAACAAGGCAATGCATTCTAAGAATGATGACCTCCGAGGAACCCCATCATGTCCTTTCTACTCCTGTTACTTTCTTGTATTAGCCAAACTACCTACAGTAAAAATGATGACATGGAATGGGACAGGTAGTAAGACTCAGAGTTTCTTTTCTGTCCTAATTTATTCTTCAGTAAGGAATGTAGAGTGTTAGTAGAATATGTATCTATTAAGAAGTGAGATAAAAATAGGCTGGCCACAGTGGCTCACTCCTGTAATCCCAGCATTTTGGGAGGCCAAGGTGGGTGGATCACATGAGGCCGGGAGTTTGAGACCAGCGTGGTCAATATGGTGAAACCCTGTCTGCTAAAAATTACAAAAATTAGCCAGGCATGGTGGCACACACCTGTGCTCGCAGCTACTTGGGAGGCTGAGGCATGAGAATCGCTCGAACCCAGGAGGTGAAGGTTGCAGTGAGCCGAGATCATGCCACTGCACTCCAGCCTGAGCCACAGAGTGAGATTCTGTCTTTAAAAAAAGGAAATGAAAGTAAGATAAAAATGATTGAGTTTTTACTTATTTATTTTTTTTGTGCAGCATTTCCATTTTTCTGGTAAGAATGAAACTTATATTCAAGTACACACTATGAAACACAAATTGTGTAATTTCAGTCGTCCTGTTTAAGTGTTAAATGTGCTTATATTTGCATTTAAAACTGGCATTGCACAACATAAAGATGAACACTGAAAAATTCATGCTAATTATTTAAATTTTTAATCTTTTTAAACTTAGAATAACTTTAAATAGTAAAAACAAAACACTATGACAATTCAAGAAAGAGACTGCAGAAGAAAAGAAAAAGTTTTATATTTTAGTAACATTAGTGCCATTTCCCCTGCTTTTGGAACAAGGGGTCCACATTTCCATTTTGTACTGGGCCTTGCAATGTATGTAGCTGGCCCTGGTAGGATGCCTTGCTTCTCTCTCTTGAGAAGGTCAGGGGCCAGGCTTATACCCCAGTGAGAAAGAGTGGTAGATTCTATTCTGGAGGCATTAAACAGCCCCAGAAAAAACAAAAACAAACAAAAAAAACTTCCATGAACTTAGGAGTTCACCAAGAAGCAGTAGACTTTCCCCATTCAATCTAGAGAGAATCCAGGGCATGTGCCCGCCCATGTGCACGGGATTTCTCATTGGTTTTAGGCCATCACTCTATGAATGTCTTGTAGTTCTCAGATGGCTAATAACTTGCAAATATCAGAGAAAATCTTTCAAATGGAAAGAGAGCCACCAGATAAACATCAAATCCCCAAGGAAAAAAGGGGGCATGAAGAGATTATCTGATATGATACAGCATCTGGAAAAAGACACAGAAATTATCAGAAATTATTGTACAATCAAACATTTGGGAAAATATCAACGACTGGTATACAGAAAACTACCAGCAACTCTAAAAAGGTGAGACAAAAATTGATGGCACAAAAAGAAGATAATCAGAATGCACTACATGCCTTTATATAAACCTTATAATGTGGACATAATATGTTGGTTTAAATAAAGTGGTTATGTAACTGTATTTGGAGGATTGGGTGAAAGAAAGTAGAGAAGGGATAGAGAGGCTAAATCCTCATCTAACCTTTAGAGGAAGTCATTATTAATGTCTAATATTGGTGAATCAACGACTAGTAGTGTAAGCATGTTATTTTGGAACATGGAGATAAATTCCAGGAGAAATAGATAAAGAAGTTAAAAGTGCCTAGGGAGCATGGTTGGAGGATGAGAGGAACTAACAGCAGAAGCAGGGGATAGTTGCTTTTCCTCCTAACTCTTTTACTTCTACTTGATTTGTCAACTCCATACATGTGTTGTACTGATAAACATTTATAGTAAAAGAAAATAAAAAGAAAAACTACTGATTATCTCACAGAATTTCCAGGAAGCCTGGATAACCATGCTTGGTAGTTGGGCAGGAGCAAATGAAGTGTCCTGATGAGGACAATACTGCTACCCTAGCTGGCACTGCCTGTGCCACTGCAGTGGTCACTGGATGTTAATGGCGGCGCACATTCTCCACCATCTCTGTGTCTTTTCATCATGGCCACCAGGTTAAATGTCTTGGGTGGTAGCATCTGATTGGCTGAGGTTAGGTCATATGTCCATGAACCTTGGCCAGTTTGGCAGAGGTCACAGAAAAGTGGCCTTTTAGGCTTCTAAAGGGGAGATGAGCTCTGCCTTCTGTAAAAATTCATATAGTAGAAGCTGCCTTGATTTTAGGAAGGGGATTCAGACACTGGGCAGCTGAAAATAACATCAAATGCACACTAGGGTCACTTTCTGGTGAAAGTGCAGATCACTTGTGAAAATTTGATTTTTTTCTCTTCTGTCAGGCACTTTTTGGGGGAATTTAAAGCTTTTGAGGACTGGAATATAGCAGAGGGTACATGATTCTCTCTCTCTCTCTCTCTTTCTTTCTCTCTCCATCTATTACCTTTCTATCCAATCTGTTTAACATTAAGTCCAAGGAGTGTAATTAATAAAACAATGATATGACACAGCAGATACTCTGGAAAAGGGTGTGTGTGTGTCCAATGTAGTGATCAGAAACACAACTTCCCAAGGAAACCAGAAACTCTCTACAAAGCAAAAATTCACCAGCAAGCAAGCCAGCAAGCAAGCAAGCAAGCAAGCAGACCACAGTACCCACAGGAGAAAAGGATATAATTCTCCCCTCCCAGAAAAATGCCCTGTTCTGTTTTCCCCTTCATTAAGACTCTGACGAGTGAACAGCACCCTTCTGAATAATTTCAGGAACTAACGTTCACTACAGAGAACTTCAGGTTGCATCAGGGAACATATATACACAGCAGTCAACTCAAGAAGATCTGTCATTTCTTCAACCAGCACACAGTTGGGGGCTTCATGAAAAAGGACAATTTTAACTTTTATATGCTTTTCATTGATTTGGTGTATTAAACATGATTTCCTATTTACTTTTATTCTGGTGATTTGGGGCTTTCAATTAGAGACTAGGCAAGCTGACAGACACATTTGTTGCATATTTTATGTATTCCCAAAAGGTTTGCCATTGTGAAGAGCCAGGTTTTGGGGAGCAAAGAAATAAACATGCTAGTGAAGTCAGCTTTCCACAAAAACAACCTGAGGGACGTGCTTCAGTGGCTAGCCCTGATTGTTTGAGACAATGAATGGGTATTACATATTCTTAAGTATTTACAGCATATATGTATATATGCAAATGCACACAGGCAATATTTTGAATTTGAGCAGGTAAAAAATTTTCATCTCTCTAGCTCTTACTGATTCTCTAAGCTGCTACATTTGTTTTGCTGTAGAATTTTCAATAAACACGTCAGAGAATACTCTTCCACCTGGATTCAAAGTAATTTGCATTTCCTCTAGTGTGAAACCAATTCACCGCAGGTATAGGCCTAAGAAATTATAAATATCAGATATAATTTTTGTAATTGCACTTCTTGTCTGAAAGTGGTATTCACAGAAAATGTAACTTTAGGTGAGCACAGCAAGAGTGTGTGTTTGCCAGCAAAAGAAACTTATCATCAGAGTGAACGGGCAACCTACAGAATGGGAGAAAATTTTTGCAATCTATCCATCTGACAAAGGGCTAATATCCCGAATCTACAAAGAACTTAAACAAATTTACAAGAAAATAACAACCGCATCAAAAAGTGGGCGAAGTATATGAAAAGACACTTTTCAAAAGAAGACATTTATGCGGCCAACAAACATGAAAAAAAGCTCATCATCACTGGTCATTAGAGAAATGCAAATCAAAAACCACAATGAGATACCATCTCATGCCAGTTAGAATGGCCATCATTAAAAAGTCAGGAAACAACAGATACTGGAGAGGATGTGTAGAAATAGGAATGCTTTTACACTGTTGGTGGGAGTGTAAATTAGTTCAACCATTGTGGAAGACAGTGTGGTGATTCCTCAAGGATCTAGAACCAGAAATATCATTTGACCCAATAATCCCATTACTGAGTATATACCCAAAGGATTATAAATCATTCTACTATAAAGACACATGCACATGTATGTTTATTGCAGCACTATTCACAATAGCAAAGACTTGGAACCAACCCAAATGCCCATCAATGTTAGACTGGATAAAGAAAATGTGGTACATATACACATGGAATACTATGCAGCCATAAAAAAGAATGAGTTCATGTCCTTTGCAGAGACATGGATGAAGCTGGAAATCATCATTCTCAGCAAACTAACCAGGAACAGAAAACCAAACACCGCATGTTCTCACTCATAAGTGGGAGTTGAACAATGAGAACATATGGGCACAGGGAGGGGAACAGCACACACCGGGGCCTGTCAGGGGTTGGGGGCAAGGGGAGGGATAGCATTAGGAGAAATACCTAATGTAGATGATGAGTTGATGGGTGCAGCAAACCACCATGGCACGTGTATACCTATGTAACAAACCTGCACATTCTGCACATGCATCCCAGAACTTAAAGTATAATAAAAAAAGAGTGTGTCTTTGCATGAGGAACAACACCATTGCAGTATTTGAAGATGGTGAACTCTGATCAGGTTAAAAAATCAGCCTAATCTCTACATTTAATGAAGTTGATGAAGAGAAAAAGTCATTAATTCAATTTTTTAAAGAAATATTTTCATGCTGGTCAGAGAGGAAAAGAAGACATAAACAGGTGGCCATGATATTTGGGAAAAAGAAGCACTGATTTTAAACTGCAATTTGGAATGAAGAGCAGAATGTTGATACTAGCAGCGTCTGGCAGGCAGCTTAGTGGCATATTTAGCCTTTCTAGAATCAGGCTTCATACCAACCTGCTGAGGTTTATTTCCATAATTGAAAATCTGATGGAGATGTGGGAAGTAGTATGTACATGGTTATAACCCTAAGCTGGCCCCAGACAGTTCTTGACCATCCACTACATTAGAGTCCTGTACTGTCTTCAGGTGGTTTGGGGCTGAAGTAGAGGTTCATGTATGGGAAGAAAGACAGGAAGATGCATGATTAATTTGAAAGAAGTAAGAGGTACTTCTTACCTATAAACAATTTAAATAGAAGCTTACTGGGAAGGAAAGCTCCTAATAAATCAAGTAATCCTATTGGCTCTACTGCTACTTGAATCTTAATCTGCTTACGTTATGTACTTTGGTCTAAATTCTATTCCATGGGTCTATACAGAAAAATCTAATCTTTCCTCCCCATGACAGACCTATACACTTTTTTTTTTTTTTTTTTTTAGAGACAGGGTCTTGCTCTGTCCCTCAAACTGGCGTGCAGCCCATACACTTTTGAAGACAGACAACTATGTTGTGTTCTGCAATCATTTGTTTTGAAGAGTAGGCTGGGCACGGTGGTTCACACCTGTAATCCCAGCACTTTGGGAGGCCAAGGCCAGTGGATCACCTGAGGTCAGGAGTTCGAGACCAGCCTGGCCAACATGGTGAAAACCCCACCTCTACTAAAAATACAGAAATTAGCTGGGCATGGTAGGGGGTGCCTGTAATCCCAGCTACTCAGGAGGCTGAGGCAGGAGAATCACTTGAACCCAGGAGGCGGAGGTTGCACGTGAGCCAAGATCACACCATTGCACTCCAGCCTGGGCCACAAGAGCGAAACTCTGTCGTAAAAAAACAAACAAACAAAAAAACAGTATATATCCTCATTTCCTTCCTCATGATGGAATTTTCATGTTTCATCAGCCTGTTAGTCTTCTCTGAATGTATTCATGTATCAAATATTTATTATATATTAACTGTATCCCAGGCATGCCTAGAGCTACAGTACAGAAATAAGTAAGATATATTCCCTTCTATAAAAGAATTTTGGGGCTAGTAAGTGAGACAAATAAAAAAAGTATATACCATGATGAAGTGCTATAATAGAGCTATGCCTAGAGTATTATGAGAGGGTCACTTGTCTTTGTTGGGCAGAAATAAGCAAAAGTTTCAGGTAGGGTTTGACTGGCACAGAGCACAGAGGATCTCCTATACTGTAGAATTTAAAAAATCTCATCTGTAACTATACCTATGTGCCCCTTTTTATACCTGATGTTATTTATGACTTTGATGTCTTTTTTATATCATATTTCTCAAAACTGCCTATTTTATTGCTTCTTTTTAATTAATATCCATTTTTATTCTTAGTTTCCTTCTACTTTTAAAAAATTTTACTTTTTTTTCTAGATTTTTGAGTATTAATCTTCATTCTTCTTGATCTCTAGTAGATTCTTTTGAGTCTATGTATTTCCTCTGGGTACTGCTGTGGCCACACTCCAGAGGATTGGGTGTATGACGTTACGTGGCTGCTTAATTATAAAGAATTTGTAAAGTTAGGTTTGAGTAGCTCCAGGATTCTCCGAATGACTCTCCTTGGATCCTGTGATGCAATATACCCTTCACCAGATCCCAATGTTCCTGCTAAGGTTCCTGCTAAGAGGACACATGGGGTAATCACCCCTGCAGAGGGTTCTCCTCCTTTCAGCATCCCCTTGACCTCAACAGCCATTTTCAAAGGAGCGGCACCATCCTCTTTAATTAGGGCCAGCAATGAGGGGAGCTGGCAAATGGGTATGTTTTTCTTAGCTATGTTGCCAACATGAGAAATTTCAGTTGTGGAGAAAGACCCCCTTGCCAGCACAACTAGTTAAGACAAGAATATGATTGCATCTAGATTTCATCAGAATACGATGAGGTGCATCATTAAGCCAGGCAGAGGGAGGCGGACTTGCGTAAATCTACTCTCCTACTCATTCAAAGCAGTAAATTGCAGAGTGTGCACAGGTGATCCCCATAAAGCTATGTTTCAGGCGGATGCCTGCTGGGCTGGCACTTAAGCAAATCCCTTAACCCATTTGTTACTCTGTCTCTGTTTCCTTTCCTTCTTAAAAGCACTTTCTTTTATCAACCTTCCTTCAGGGGATAGTGGTTTCAGGCTCTCCTTATCCTCTCCTCTGTGAAAATTTACCCTTAAGAAAAGATCTAGAGACTTCAACATATATAAATGACTGATAATATAGTGCCTCACCCAGGCCAACACTCATTTTAAAGGGAACACAAAGCCTGCATTGAAGGAAATCAGTGTGTATGTCTAGAATTTTCATCAGTAGTAGTATGAAGGGCTATTTGGGGGCAGTAGGAGATGCGGACTCCAGTACTGATCGATGGGGGCTTGGCTAGTACCTGAAATGATTGACGAGGGCTGCATGTATGCAGAGCTGGAGTTCTCAACCTGGGGAAATTTGTCTCCAACTCCCAAAAAGAGAACATTTGGCAATGCCTGGAGATATTTTGGAACAACTAGGGGTGGGGGGTGCTACTGGTATCTAGTGGGCAGAGACCAGGAATGCTGCTAAACATCCTGCAATGTACAGGACAGTCCCCCACAGCAAAGAATAGGCCGGCCCCAAATGCCAACGGTGCTGAGGCTGAGAGACCCTGGTGTAGAATGATAGATATTTGACAAACAACACTGGCCCCCATGTTGGAAAGACAGCAGGGAGAGCTTTTGTGGGCCAGCTGGAGACCACCTTCTCTGATTCGAGGCACTCTCACTGCCCAGGACATAGAGGGATTATCCCACGGTGTAGTACAGCCAGATCTTCTGACTTCTTTGGAGAATTCAAAAATCCAGATTTTTATGTGACATCTCTAGATGTTAAAACACCAGCAATGAATCCAAATGAACAAAGTTGAGAGAGCCACACACACTTGGCCAAGGGCTGGACTTAGCTTGCTGGCAGCTGACATGACAAGTTGTGACCAGATCGTCCTGGCCCATCAAGGTGACTGTGGGTTATAAATCCAGGGCTACAAGCTACCAAGGCAAGGTTCTGGTGGTCAGTCTTTCTGTCTGCAAAGACCAGGACTGTCCCACTGAGGCACAAGCCAAGGAGAGGTCTGTTTTAGCTGTGTGGAAAATAAAAAGTATAGATTGCTCTTAAAACTGTGCTAGCACTATTTAACAGAGTTTACCAATGCAATTTTAGCTTTTCCTCTTGTAAAAATTTCTTTCTTGGGCTCAATAGGCACATTTCAGATTCTGGAGTTTTCTCTTACTAATTCCAGTATCTACCAGACAGGGTTGGTTGTTGAAGAGATCAAATAAGATAATATATGTGAAAGTTCATAGTGTAGAGTTGTCTGCTGTGAAAAGAAGTGTTAGTTGACTCTGAATACAAAGATAAAACTCCACTCTCTGAATGGGACCGTAGGCATTTTCTTGAACTGGATAGACTCAGTGGCCGGCTCCTGGGATAATGAGCTGAGTTCACTTGCTTGAATTTGGAGGGTAAACACATGTTCTTTGTGTCTGGGAGGTATGCTTGGGATTTCCTTTGTCTCTCCCTGCTTTGGGGAAAAGCAAATTTGGCATGGCCTTTGAATGCTTGCCTCCCCCACACTTTTTTTTTTTTTTTTCAGTATGGAAGCTTTGTAAATTTTCCTTGTTAAAAACAAGCACCATCTTCATACCTGCTGAAATCTAATTCTCATCCAGAGGGATGTGAGGAATAAAGGGGGCAGTGATACCAACAGCGGGCGTAGACAGCCCATCCATCCCACGCAGGTACGCTGGCGTGGCTACATCGACCCGGGAGGGAGGCCGTTTGTAAAGAACCCTTTTTATTGTGACTCTCGCCTCCCTCAGCTCATCCCGAGCCATGAGAAGAGCGTTGTCAATGAGACAGGCCAATTTTACCCATCTTACACAATAGTGCATTACAGACTTTCCAAGAAGACACCATTCAGGGTGAATCACCAAATTCAGGATGAAAAGGTTTTGATTTGCAAAAGCGCTCAAGCATTTCTCTTTAGAGCTGGAGATGGCAGGGAAGGAACCGACGTGCATGCAGCTGCATCACCTTTGGGCCAGGTGTGCTGGCAAGCTCTCCACGCTAGAGCAGGGCAAAGGCACCTAGCATTCACAGGCGCCTTTGTCCCACCGTGGGTGCTGGGACTCGTGAATGCCCTATTGAAGGCAGAAAAGAATAAGAAGGTGCCAGTGATGGTGGGGTATTGAAGTGAGAGGAATCGAGTCAAAGCATGAACTGCATGCAGGTTAACAGCAACTGAAATTAATGTTAAAATTTTTAGGTCCTTAAATAGATTCATCAACACAGGTAGGAGATGATGAGAGAAAATACTAGATTAAGAGAGTTGTGTCATTTAGGATGATTTCAGCTACTAGTCACTGAATATCTATCTAAAGTGAATTAAACCCTTCTTACTCAGAGTTCAGGCTCAGAACTGGCAGTGTCACCTTCACCTGGGAGCTTGTCAGAACTGCAGAATCCCTAGACCCAGCCCAGGGCCTCCTATAATACATCAGAATCTGCATTTTAATCAGACACACAAGTTATTTGAAGTCACATTACCATTTGAGAAACAACCATGAAAAAGGACTATTTTAAATCTCAGATAACAAGTAGACAAGTTAACTAATCAGAGTCAGTTAACTCAGCAACTCAACAATGTCAAGAAGGGCCTGGGTGTTTTCCATTTTTCTGCTTTGCTGTGTTTGATGTCTTTACTTCCATATTCAGGTTTATGGTCCTGTGATCACAAGATGGCTGCAGAAGCTCTGAGCATCACCTCATATAGCTCAACAAAGGGGTAGGAAAAAGGAGCTTCCTCTCAAATATGCATTTTTAACAGCAAACCAATCCTAAACCAGCCATTGGCAAGGGGATTAAAATAATGCTGATTTGCTAAGGCCAACAAACCTTTAACCCCTGGGACCAGGTGGGGCTTGGCCTCCTTTGAAGCTCGTGGCAATTAAATATATGAACAAAATGGACTTCTGTAACTTGAAAGAAATAGGAATGAGGAGGGAAGTTAGCTGGTAGGAAAAGCAGCACTGTGTGGTGCAGGAATTTTTTTGAGGCTGGTTTCATATATTTTGGGACATCAGGAGTTTCCTCTAGAATATTTGTTAGAGAGTTAACAAAGATATCAGCTTTTGATTTGATTCTATGATGACTGACCCTAGGGCTATTATCCTAGGACATACATAGATGGGTAGTTTGTGTTACAGGAAATTCTTTTTTTTTTTTTTTGTAGACGGAGTTTCACTCTTGTCGTCTAGGCTGGAGTGCAGTGGCGTGATCTCGGCTGACTGCAACCTCTGCCTCCTGGGTTCAAGTGATTCTCTTGCCTCAGCCTCCCGAGTAGCTGGGATTACAGGCACCTGCCCCCACGCCCAGCTAATTTTCGTCTTTTTAGTAGAGATGGGGTTTCACCATGTTGGCCAGGCTGGTCTCCAACTCCTGACCTCAGGTGATCCACCTGCCTGGGCCTCCCAAAGTGCTGGGATTACAGGCTGGAGCCACTGCGCCCAGCCTGGAAATTCTTAATGATAGAATAATGCAGTTACATAATGTTCGAATGAGAAGGCTAGAAGGGACTTTTTACACTACTTAGAATGGTGCCCTTATTCTGTAGATGAGGGAGAAGTCCAGGTGATTTATGCACTGGTTAGCTGTGTTGGGATTGGAATGTATTGCCCTTTCATATGCTACCATCTTGATGGGAGGTAGTTCAACCTTTTCAATTTGAAATCTGTATTTCGAAGACCTACATAATGTTACCTCTCTGGGAAACATGAATAATTATGTAGAGCAAATCACACACAGGTCATTTTAAGGCCATCTAAGAGAAATAGGATTCTGTTAAACAGGTCATAGGATCCCAGATGCCCCTGAATCATGAGACCTAGAAAGCTAGAGAGTAAGGCTATGCTTGACGCAGTCTGTAGGCACTTGGCAAGTGTTTGCAGAGTAATTACTGGACTGGATAAATAAATTAAGTATAAATACGTCTTTTTCAAAAGAGAATTCTCATGCGACTCACCTTCACTGTTGACATTCCTATATGGTGTATGTTGTTTTTAATTGAATTATTCTGAATAAGTGGGGTAGGACCAATGGATTCCAGAGTATGTATTTTCTCTTTCATACTCTTATTTCTAAGGGTCTAAAAGAAGAAAAACAAATACAATGTTAGACTGCATTAAAGAATGTACAATAGTCCCCCCACCCCTTATCCACAGGGGATATACTTCGAGACCCTCAGTGGATGCCTGAAACTGCAGATAGCACCGAACCCGATGGCCATCAATCGGAACGTGTTTCTGTTCATGTCTTCCACCCACACATTTAATGCCTTTTCATCTTAATTAAGCTCTTATGCACTGTGGCCATAACTTTCGCAGTTTGAGGTGCAACCACAGAACTAGTATAAAGTTCTTTTTCCTTCTTCACAATTTCATGGATAAACGATTTTTATCGTAGACTTTAGCAACCTCAGTATATATATTTTTTCTTATTAAGTTGAGAACTTTCATCTTTTCACTTAAAGGATGCACTTTACTTTTCTTTGGCATAGCCAG
This sequence comes from Homo sapiens, assembly GCF_000001405.40. Taxonomy (NCBI): domain Eukaryota; kingdom Metazoa; phylum Chordata; class Mammalia; order Primates; family Hominidae; genus Homo; species Homo sapiens. The sequence goes on along the minus strand of NC_000006.12, from coordinate 19,731,630 downwards.
ATTGCCAGCATCACTACTCTCATACTTTGGGGCCATTACTAAGTAAAATGTGGGTTAGTTGAACACAAGCACTGTGAAATGGCGACAGCCGATCTGCTCATCGAGATGGTTTCTATGTGATTCATGGGCAGGGAGTGCATACAGTGTGGATATGCTGGACAAAGAGATGATTCACGTCCCAAGCAGGATGGAGCAGGATGGTGTAAGATTTCATCACACTACTCAGAACGGTGTGCAATTTAACACTTATGAATTTTTTATTTCTGGAATTTTCCATTTAATATTTCCAGATGACAGTTGGGCCAGGGTAACTGAAACTGCAGAAGGCAAAACCATGGATGGTGCAGGGGGCTGTGGGGGTGGTGGGGGACTGTGGGGGGAGTGGCAGGACTACTGTATCATGTTTAGGGTCAAGGGAGACAGTCTTCACGGTACCCTTTGGGCTGATTCTGACTACTTTAGAATTGTTTTTTTATCAGTTTCTAGCAATATAATTTAAGGAGGACATTGATTAAGTGTTCACTGATGACAATGATGATAAAAATATTAGAGCCAAATATCAGCCACTTTAAATTTTTTTCATTAAATCTTACAAAACCCTTGTGAGATAGACATCTCAAAGATAAAAAAAAAAACAGAAGCTCAGATAAATGTATTAACCTAAGGACAGCTACTAAACAGTGGAGCTGAGATTTGAACTCAGGGCTGTCTGACACCTAAACACCATCAAAGCAGCTAATGTAGTTAAGCATTAGTTAAATTCTAGGCATTGTTCTAAGTGCATTATTTCATTAACCCTAACAAAAATCCTTTTTCTGAGGATTGGAAATACCTGTTATTTCCTTTTACAGGTAATGAAGCTGATGCTTAGAGAGGTTGAGTAATCCACCCATGTCTCTCTGACCCAGGTCTGACCACCATACTATTGCCTGCAGATGAAGAGGAGCAACATATTGTATCCTGTGTTGCTCAAGAGAGCAGAATTAGGACTTAGAATAGCCTTCTAAGAATTGCTCTGTGCCACCAAATGGGTGGCAGACTTCTAGACAAGTTTTCTAAACTTGTCAGCCTCAACTACAAGTGAGCTGGTGAGAGAAAACAAACATCACTATCCAGGGGCTTTTGCTGGACTTACTGAATGTAACAGAGATCGGATTGGATTGTCTCTAATGTCTGTTTCACGAATAGAGTTCTGTAAATAGTCTGTCTTTTCTGAAGCCATTGTATTTTCAGTATTAGGTCATTTAGTTGACTGAAAGTGTGTATTCTGTAAAGAGAGAAAGGGATGGGGAGAGAAAGGAGACTGTTACTTTTATTTTCATGTCCTTTGCTCTCCCACATGCATACTCCACCTCTAGCTCTTACACTCAAACATCTACACTTGCAGCTTACTGTAGATGCCACTGTCCTTTTCCACATTTGCACAAGTAGATTTCTCACTCCCAACCCTTATTTTGAAAATAAGGTGTTTCTACATCTTTCATTTTATTTTTAAAAATAAAAGTTGGACCACAGTTTAGATATATTAATCACTTTTCCCAGAACTCATGTTTGGTCATCTAAAAGCCTGTGTCTAAAAGTTGTGAGGAATAGTTGAAGCTTTCATCAATGTAAAGGTTGGGTAATACTCTACTGCCAAAAGTAGTTAATTAATTTCTGCAGAGTTAAGGTAGTAGAAATGGGAGCTCTCATCTGTTTTGAGAAATGTGTACAAAATTAATGTTTTCCCAGAGAAGCATTTTCCAATGTCTCCATCTAATTTGGCTCCATTCTGAAGAGAAGCACAATGATGCTTCAGCAACTTGAAATTTTACTAAGTGAACTAACTAATCCTGCCTTTGAAACAGTGGACTGGGGCTCAAAAGACAAGCTTCTTAGACTAATACTGGGCACTTTCTCTTTTCTCACTCTCTCTTTATTCCCTTTTCTTTCTCCTTCTCTTGTTCCATCTTTTCACTTTGGAAACTATTAGGTTTCAAAAATGCATCTGTAGCTGTTTATTTTACATGTGCCTGATTTTATGAGTTTATGGGCTCCTGAAAATTAAATTAATTTTAAATGAGCTTTAATTACTAATGCTTTGGGCCATTGCCTTTAACAAAGTCAACATAACAATCAGGGTTACCTTAGTTTGTCTCTTTGAAGAATGTAGTCATTCATTTGGGCTCTTATTGAGCAGAGCAGCTTTCTAACTGGAAAAACAAATAAATAAAATAAAACCACTGCTATATTTGAATGCCTGAATTTATTTCTTTTCCAGAAATAGCCACCTTTGATTTAAGAAACAGGATTTTAAGTGTGCATTAAAGGATTCATTTTGTTAATAATATCTTGTTATTTTTCAGAAGAGGAGAGGATCCTATTCATAATATTATGCTATGCAAATACAGAGGCAGAGGTTGAATCATGACCTGAAGGTCTGAATTCTGTTCTTAGCTTGGTGCAGAGTGCTTTGTATGTAACATTAGTGAAATCGGCTTACTTCTCAATACAGTGCCCCCTTGCAAATTAAGGGTAATCAACTCCTAGTTCAAAAGTGAAGGGATAATGAGATAATGTTCAAAATGGCTTTTAAGTTTCTACCTATAGAGGCTGAAGGTGAAAAAAAGAACATTGCAATGTCTGTGGATATCCCCCCTCCCAGGAGGGAAGGCTACTCATGTTGTTCCCCATGGAATGTTCTCTTCAATCAGGGGCCATCACTTGAGTGGTTTGATAATAATAAGCTTAGATTGACTGCAGATAAAAATGGGAAAGGTTGATTAAGTCATTTAGTCCCTTGGCAATTTTGCAAACCAAGTGATTCTTATAAGCATCAGTTTTAAACTGTGCAATACAGGGACCCGACAAATAACCAAAGTTCTTGATTCCACATATTGCAGGATTTCAGCTATTTCTCCCCAAAATTAATATCAAATTTCCATTATCTAAATATACCCTGTTGTTATCCGTGATTCCCAAGTGGTTTCTACCTCTTTTATCTCTCTCAGTTGAAAATGTGCTAAAATACCCAAGTAATGAAAACACCCATGGTTGCCAGTTGGTTAATTCTTTTAATCAGTTAAACTGATGGTATATAGTATCACAGAAATACAAATCTTTCTAGGCAGAATATTACATCTACACTCCCGTCTTCACTTCATGTCCAGGCATATTAGACTAGAAGATAATTAGTATAGAAGACATATTAGTATAGAAAAGAAAAACAGTGATTTAAAATAAAAAACTTCAACTATAAACATTCTAAGACAAGTTCAGAAAGAAAAAAGTAATTATTTTCTTCTAGATTCTCTCTCAAATTTACTTCACACTTATATTTAAAGCGGCTCCCAATGATAATGTTTCAGTCACACCGTATTTCTAAATGTGCAAAGCCAAGTAATGTACAAGTCATTATTTATTAATAAGAATAACATGTTGCATTTGTCTAATACCTTACAGTTTCCAAAATGCTTAAACTTACTCTTTTTTTTTTACGATATCTGCTTATTTTTTCTCAAAAGATTTTTAAAGTAAGTTATCTATGTAATTGCCTCACCTATAGTGGAAGTCATCTCTTATTTATTTATTACTTATTGAGTTCATGACTATTGAAAATTTTAAAAGTAGACGATGTCTAAGAATACCTCAGAAGCTGATTCCATGTTATGTATAAATATTGCCATAAGCAGACACATGTATACATGCACACACACTTACATACACTCAGCTTCTTCTTTGTCTTGGCTGGTATTCCTAGAAAGAAATTACTTTTCTTTCAAATTCCCCTTGATAACTCACGTTATATGTGATTTCTTTCAGCAGTTTGCTTACCATTGAGGACTTTTCTATAAAGGCAAAGAACCTGGCTAGAAGAAAATTGAGTTATAGGAAGGAAAAAAAAAATACTTTGAAGAAGAAAACTTAGTTGGGTACAAGAGGGAAAAGCTAATGGCATCTTTTTTTTTTTTTTTCTTGAGACGGAGTCTCACTTTGTTGCCAGGCTGGAGTGCTATGTGGTGTGATCTCAGCTCACTGCAACCTCCATTTCCTGGGTTCAAGCGATTCTCCTGGCTCAGCCACCTGAGTATCTGGGATTACAGGTGGCTGCCACCACAACTGGCTAATTTTTGTATTTTTATAGTAGAGGTGGGGTTTCACCATGTTGGCCAGGCTGGTCTCAAACTCCTGACCTCAGGTGATCCACCCGCCTCGGCCTCCCTAAGTGCTGAAGGATTCCAGGCTTGAGCCACTGTACCCGGCCCATCTTTTTAAAGTTATATGGCCACTTCCAAAAACTGTGCTTTCCTCTGTTACATGTAATTTAAGTTCCATGTGGATTCTTAACACTTTAAAATAAAACTATATTTTCTTGTTCTGAATAATGTTATATAGAGATCACCATTTTAAAAAATAAACAATGCCTGATAATTGGTTTTGTGAAGTAAGCAGGAGCAGTGAAATCGACCATAGGGGAACGTCAGAAAGGATGCAAGCGGGGGGCGGGGCGGGGGGAGCTTTACACAGTGAAATAAAGGTGTTTGATTGGGACACAGACATGAGCACCATTTAGACAGTATGCTTGTGATACTAAATCACCAAACTTTATTGATGAAGGGGCATCAAGTTCATCTTTAATTTTTTGCCCACACATCTTAGATAATTGTATACACAAAAGGGGTGTCCAGTAAAGATTTCTTCACCAGCATATTTTATCATTGTTGCACCCCTCACTCCTCATTCCAGCCACACTGGACTTTCACCACTTCCCTAAAAGTTCAAGGCTTCTTCCTGCATGAAGGCCTCTTCCTGCATCAAGGCCTTTGCAAATGTTGAAACAGTCACCAGCAACAGCACTGGCCTAGACGTGGTAGGTCTGCCACAAGGATGAATAATACAGCTGGTTCTGCAGATGTGAGGTGTGGCATACTGAATTTTGTGCTATTGGGGCCACTGAAGCGGGACACTAAAACATGCTGTCAAAGAGAGCACAGAGCAATGGGATGGCATAGCATCAAGGAGGGAATCTTAGAAGTAGCCAGGCAGTAAGAGGAAGAAGAGGAGGCATCAAAGGAGACAGAGAAGTGGTCATCGAAATAGGAGTATCAGCTTGGAGCAGCATCTTAGGAGACAAAGAGTTGTAAGAAAGCATATACTACCAGTGCTGGAAGGATACTGTGCTAACTAAGCACAGTGCCTGCTACTAGAAAGCACTTCATAGGCCCCGTTTCCCTTCATTTTCTCACTTATCCTTTTATTCATTCAACAAATATGCCTGTGTAGCTACTGAGTACTAGGTACTAATAAGATGGAAGTGAACAAGATAGATATTGTTCCTATTCTATCATAAAGCTTACAATCTGGAGGAAAGGGAGTGGGGTGAGAAGAGACAATGAAAAAATTAAAATTCACATATAAAATAATATTGGGTGGCAAAAAATGCTATGAAGAGAAACAAGAGCATAGAAAGATCAGATGGTGTTACATTGGGTAGGGTAGCCAGGAGAAACCTCTCTGATAGGGGGGATTTATTTATTTATTTACTTATTTATGTTTTTATGGTTTTGTTATTTTTTAAAATATATTTCCATAAGTTATTGGGGTACAGGTGGAATTTGGTTAGAGTTCTTCAGTGGTGATTTGTGAGATTTTGGTGCACCCATCAACTGAGCAGTGTACATTGCACCCACCATATGCGTAGTCTTTTATCTCTCCCCCCTCCCACTTTTCCCCCCAAGTCCCCGAAGTCCACTGTGTCATTCGTATGCCTCTGTGTCCTCATAGCTTAGCTCTCACATACCAGTGAGAACATACGATGTTTGGTTTTCCATTCCTGGGTTACCTCACTTATAATAATAGTCTCCAATCTCATCCAGGTCACTGCAAATGCTGTTAATTCAATCCTTTTTATGGCTGTGTAGTATTGCATTGTATATATACACCACAGTTTCTTTATCCACTCATTGACTGATGGGCATTTGGGTTGGTTCCAGGATTTTGCAATTGTGACTTGTGCTGCTATAAACATGCATGTGCAAGTGTCTTCCTCAAATAATGACTTATTTCCCTCTGGGTAGATACCCAGTAATGGGATTGCTGGATCAAATGGTAGTTCTATTTTTAGTTCTTTAAGGAACCTCCACACTGTTTTCCATAGTGGCTGTACTAGTTTACATTCCCACCAGCAGTGTAGAAGTGCTCCTGATAGGGGGATTTAAATGGAGAACAGAATGAAGTGATGCATGTGATGTTAGGAGTTGTGATGATGGATTGATGATGATGATGATTATGATCACAAGGATGAAGACTTGAGGAGGATTGTGTCAAGGGGCAAAGAAAAAGAGACAAGAGTATTATAAGAAGGAGAAAAAGACCAACAGTTTGAATGCAATAGAGGTGTCAAAATAAGATAAGGCTGGAAAAAATGTTTATTGGATTGTTTGATTTGACAATTAAGGAGGTTGGTGACCCTAAAGAGAGCAGTTGCAGTGAGTTGCTTGGAAGGAAAATCAGCTGCAGAAGATTAAGAGCATAATAGAATATGGATGCAGGGGAGATGTCTTAGAAAAGTTTAGCAACGGGCTGGGTGCACTGGCTCACGCCTGTAATCCCAGCACTTTGGGAGGCCGAGGTGGATGGATCATTTGAGCTCAGGAGATTGAGACCAGCCTGAGCAAAAATGCAAAACTCCATCTCTCCAACAAAAAAACAAAAACAAAAAACCAAAAAGCAAAAAAAGGCCGGGCGTGGTGGCTCACACCTGTAATCCCAGCACTTTGGGAGGCCGAGGCGGGTGGATCATGAGGTCAGGAGATCAAGACCATCCTGGCTAACATGGTGAAACCCCGTCTCTACTAAAAGTACAAAAAAATTAGCCGGGCGTGGTGGCAGGCACCTGTAGTCCCAGCTACTTGGGAGGCTGAGGCAGGAGAATGGCGTGAACCTGGGAAGCGGAGCTGGCAGTGAGCCGAGATCGCGCCACTGCACTCCAGCCTGGGTGACAGAGCGAGACTCCGTCTCAAAAAAAAAAAGCAAAAAAAGGAGAAAAGTTTAGCAATGAAATAAAGGATGTGTAGGGAGTAGCTAGATGCAAAAATTATATACAACTAGTTTTTAAAAACATTTGTTTTCCCCTCTAGATGAGGGCTTCTCCACTTTGAAACAATTGATATTTTGAGCTGGATGATTCTTTGTTGTGGGGACAGGCAATGGGGCTACCCTGTGCATTGTAGGAAATTCTGCAACAGCTCTGACCTCTACCCACCAGATGCCAGTATCACCCCTCCACCCAATTTGACAACAAAAATGATTCCAGACATTGTTAAATGTCCCCTAGAGGTAGAATTGTCCCCAGGTTAGAACAACTGCTCTAGACTGAGGATATCTATGTATGTTTGAAACGATGAAGAAGGGCCCATGGAGAAGAAGAGAAAAAAGATATTGAAAAGGGAGAATCTTAAATGTGAAGATCTACAGTCAGTAAGTTCAACATGTTTCCCTGCAAGTGACAAAAAGCAGAATTATAGGGACTGTTAATAAATGCTTTGTTTTATGAGTTGAGGAACAAATATTGTCATTCTAAATTAAGAAGGGGCATTCGAGCTGAAAATTAAAAAAATATATTTGTTGTAACAATTTGGAAACCAGCATGCAAACTCTCAAGGAAATGCAGTATTATTAAGAAAGGGAAACCATTAGCTATTTTTTATATATTCATAGAATTAAGACAAATAAGCAAATAGTTCAAGTTGGAGAGCAGATCATGTGGTCCACAAGTTGTCCCTTATTCTGGGAAGTCCTTAATTTGGGATTGAAGACAGATGTTTCTAATGTGACTCATGTATTTTTACCACTTTCTCATGGGCATGGACTGAGATTCTTCCTCTGTCTCCTGGTGATGTCAGCATCATGTTTACATAGAATGGGCCTGCCTAAGTCAAAGCTAGCCCTAAGTCACATGTCACATGGTAAAAATACATAAGCAGGCTTCTCTTTAGATAGATTATAGTTGTGACCTCTAGGAGAATAGACTTATTTTCTGGGTTGAGTATATAAAGTTTAGAAATTGGGGAATATTCCAGAATAACAGCATTTCAAAGTTGGGAGGAATCATTATGATTACTTCACAATCATAAGTTCTCAGGTTGTCAAGTATGGCACATTAAAAATAAAAAATTATGTCTCCTGTAAGAGAACGAATGTGAACATGGTACTTGGCAATTAAGTTCTTTTCTTCCTAAATTAAAATCAAATGTTAATCTGCATCTGAAAAGGCAACTGGCACTTATTGTGAACCTACTATATACGGGAAATTATTGGAGTTATTTTATACATATAATGTTTTTGAAGCTTAATGACAACTCGGTGAGCCAAGTATTATTCCCATGCAAGGGAGGAAAACTAGCAATCACAAAGTCTACTGCAAAACCCGCCAATATAGAAACAGCTGTTTTATGTCCACAGTTTATCTTTGGACATTCTCTCCCCAGTGATTTTTACTAGTCTCTGATGAGATCTCGGCTTCTTTTTAACAGTGAACACACAAACTGAACTACTTTGGGACTGATAATCAGGTGGTTTATTTTGTTCAGCCAGTCCCTATCCAGTACGGTTAATTCTACAGATCTGACTTTTGCCGCTCACTTTATGCCTGTCAGAGCACCCTTCTACATCTCCTGGCACACCTTTCCAGCAACACACTATGGCAATGATCCATTGAGAGTGAAACGAGGTGTCACAAAGAAGCAATTTTCTTTGACATTTGAAATAAGGACTTGAGTTTGCCCATTGGCCTTCATGTCTATCTGTCATGATATTTTAATTTGGTAAAGTTTTTGTTTGGTAAAGTTTAATTTGGTAAAGTTTTTGTAAGCAAGTTCATTGGGTGAAAGATTTGTTGGAATTTGTTAAATCCAAAAGAATAAAAAACCTTTAGGCCATCATTAATTTCTTATAAGTGACCGATTTCCATTACAAGGACCCTTTCATTGGATGAGTTAGTTCTGGTCTAATGTATACATTTTCTTAACTTTCATAGTAAGCATTACTATGTGCTATAGCTATATGTTTACATTTTTATCTATATCTGCTGCTCCAAATATTTTCTTGGTTTTCTTCCTCGCTTGCTTTTCACTTGGCTCTTAGGAGCCCAAACAACCCACAATAACTTGCTGAGTATATTTAGCCCAGAAAAAAAGAATGTCTGGGATAAGCTTCACTTCTCATAAAAAAGTAAAAAGTGACAGACCAAATTGATTTTAAAAATATGTATCTGTGGATGTAAGTGTCAGGACATTCAGTGTAAAAGCATACCATGAGTCTCTAATCCAACATCTCACTCAATGGAGCAAGGGATCTATCCCCAATGGGCTTGCAGATGAAGTAATTTCCAAGGCATAGTTGGGTGGGCAAGTGGAGAAAGAAGAATGGCCGCCGTGGCTGTGAGGTGGTCAGTGAGAGAGACAAATCCCTTCCCCCACTCCCATGGCCGTGTGTGCCACTCTTCCTCTATACAAAGACAATTTGCTTTTCATGTAGTAATGAAGAACAATGTTTAACAGACAAAGGAGCTTCTAGTTTATTATTGTGCTGTCTTTGACTAGAGCTAGATGCTGGGAAAAATGGTAATTCACAGTGTGAATGCTTCTTTTCCAGCCGTATGGGTTATGGCTGAGCATGTACATTGTATATTGCAGATGGTACAATAGTGAACACTGTGAGAACGAGGAAAGAATGAATTACGACCTTTTTTTTCTTGCTAGCCAAGAAACCAGGAATTTCTTCACAGCGATTTTTATTTATATCTGTGTGTGTGTGCGTGTGTGTGTGTGTGTGTGTGTGTCTGTGTGTGCGTGCGCAATCGTGCATGGGTTATTCCTTAGCAATATGCGCTGCTGGATTCTGATAAGTGATTTTAGGTTTTAGAATTTTTAAGTTAATGTATAAAATCTACTATGATGCTCTTAGAACACCTGTGTTCTCCTGCCTTTTTTTTCCCCTAGTTGACTGATACAAGGCACAGGTGGTGCCTAATTAACTTATTTCATGCAAATAAAAACATATTGCATGATTTCTTCTCCTTAACTATATAATCACTGAAACACGATGGTGCTGATTAAAGCAACAAACTTTGGGAGGGGAGAATTTAGCATCTTCTGTCAGTTCTCCTATGCTGAAGGGATTTATGATCCATGTAAATCTGATTTAAATGGAAAAGTGATGGGAACGTGTATTTCCTATGCAAGAAAACGATTTTCCTCTATTTAGTCTTTTCTCTATGTCATAGGACACTCAGTGATACAGAATTGAAAAAGAGAAAGACCAGATTTCCCATGGAGATGGAGAAATTGGAAGCCCAGATGAGGAACCATCTCATATAAGCAAGCTTATGTGTTTTGATTTCGTGTTCAGATATTCTTATCAATGATTTCCAGAAAGTGACATTGATTTGCTTTGGAAACAATGATGGAAAAACAGTGAGTGTGTACCGGAATGCTTTTAGAGTTCTAAAATCATACTGGAAAATGTCCGAGCATTCCAACACAGCTATAAACAGTACCATGCTGTATTTATGGGGGGTGGCAAGTCTGTTTTTAAAAGTCTTTGCGATATTTTTTCTATGTTTTTAATTTATTGAATTAAAGCCAGATTTATTCAATTAAGATAATACACTTCAAAGTTAACTGCCATTTGCTGTTCATTTAGGCAAGCTATTGTACAGTTATGTAAATTTCATGAACAGAGACACTACTTGAGTGTCTTAATTACAAGCAGAAAGTGTCATTTAAATATGAATTAAGTGAATAGTTGCCTGTATTTCCTGTTTCTGTATTTTCTGTCTTCTGCCCAATGATCCATACTGTGTTAGAAGATTTTTCTTTTTCCTGTGAAAGAAAAACACCTCCACTATGAAATATTAAAAAAAAAAAAGTCGGGAAACATGTAAAAACGCCATTGTTATTGCACTGATTAGTACTCAGAGCCATTTCTGAATAACAGGGTACCAGGTTTTTTCAGTTGGCCACTGATAGTCATTCTCATATTGTTACTGAGATCTAAAAATTATTCCAGCTTATGCTGGGGGAAATAATTTGCTACATGTGTCATTTGCTCCAATTCATTATATATGTGGGTTCATTTTTTTTTTAAATCCTCTTTTAAAAGTACTAATTTATAACACGTCCAAACATTGTCTTCCTTACTCCAATGCTGGGCTGTGCATATTTTTATCATTCTTTTATCTTTGTCAAAAGCAACATTTATTTTCAATTTAGAACTGTCACAACCATATTTGTGTTTAGCAAATGTGACCCATGACCTGATACTTTGCTGATTTCTGTGAAACAATTCCCCATGCATCTTGGACTTACTGACCAACATTGTTTTTGTTTGTTTCTGTGTTTTGGATGATTCTTATGTATACATAAAAATGACCTAGAGACAAATCTGGCATTAATCATGAAGAAAGGCAAGGATTCACAATTAGTTAATGAAAACCACACCTCTGTTCTGTGGAGTCAGTTCCCAGCTCCTGTCTCCAGCCTGGGATATAGATGCAGCCTGGGAAGATATTCCCAGCACCCCCCAAGGTAGATCCTGCGTGCTCCCCCAGGAGTGAGAAGTTCACTATTCACTCAGTGCTTGCATCATCTTTTCCAACATGTTCCCACTGATACATTAAAGGAATTAATTGCTCATAATGATCTCACCATCTGTTAACAGAGGTTCATACCTACAGGCTGGTGGCATGCGGTGGTTCTATTCAGGGATCAATAGGCAATGCCGGGCGAACGCTTTCCCACATTGCCTGCCTTTGCACGCTGAAAGGGGGAGGAGGGCTCGGTGCCGGCCATCTGCTCCTTGTCTTTCTGTGCGAGACCTTGATGCGGTCCAGCACAGCTCTGATCTGACTCCAGTCCGATTGGAATGTGGCTGATCTGAGAGCCTCTCAAAGCTGTGAAAGTGAGTCAAAAGGAGATGCCCATTGTCCAGCATGGCTGAAAGAAAATGATCACTTTAAAATTCATAACTCCCAGGTGCCTGCCATCTATTCATGGGAAAAACCCTCTGAACTTCTCTTCATTAAAGAGAGGGGAGTCTTGCTAAAAAGAGAGAAAAGGAAGTAGTTTGTGGGAATGTGCAGGGGATTTTCAAGCTAAACAAATGAGGAATTTGGAATTTTTCACTTGTATTAAAAGAACTGTGTAGGAAGGAGAAGCCCTTATTTAAAAAAAAAAAAGGGTGAGAGGAGGCTTTCCTTGGACACTATAGCAACTAATAAAGAACATTTTAATTTTTCTCCAGAGGAATTCAAAGATCACCCTGTCTTTTTACTTTTATTACCTGGAGCTGTGGAAACTTTCCCATTTGATTCTGAATAACATTCTTAGTCAATTTTCACTTCTGTTCCACAGGGGTGCAGTTTGGGTGGGAATTTGGGGAAGAATGAGAGTCTGGGAAATTCCTAAATATGGTGTTGGACATCTATGGACACAGTGAAACTCAACTCCATCAGCTGTTGCATAGGAGAAGTTTATGCAGCAGGGCTACTTGCACCCAGTGGAAGCATCTGTCAGGAGAATTCTTTCTGTGCCTTGAAAACCAAAAGAGCCATTAGGAAATAGTAAAGAAATAATAAGAGAATCTCTGTGCCTTGGCAACTCAAGATTCAGAGCTGAGTCTCACAGCTGTGGGAATCACAGGCCGGGTGGATCTTGGCTATTGGTCATTGTAGACAATCAATGTTGCATCAGAGTCACACAGGAGCTCAAAGAGGATTTATGGATTAATGGATTGAGAGCCAAACAAAAGCAGAAATAGAGAGACCTATGTTCTGTCTCTTGAAAATCTTTTAACATACAGATGATGATACTTAAGGCCCAAAGAGGTTAAGTGACACATGCTCAAAGTCACCCAGAGTTTGTTACAGAACCTGGGTTATAACCTCCACTTACAAGCAATTTAATTTCTAACACTTCATGCTGCCTCTGTTAATGGTGTGAGGTTTAATTTAAAATTATTTTTCCCCAGCTTTCCATCATTAAAACATAGATCAGTATCACCAACCTAAAGATTTAATAGTTCCCTTTAAAATAAATTCTGAGCTTTAAAGAAGATTATAAACACTAATATTCATTACTAACACATACAAAATAGAAAATCCATCAAGTCAGGTACTAATATCTGACAGGAAATATTGAAATAAATGATAGAATCTATTGGCAAAACAGGATGGCAAAGTTTAGCTCTCTTGGACAACAATGGCCAAATAAAACAAGAAAGAAGAAAAGTAAAAATTGGCGATGATCAATGTAAAGCCAGAAAAGCACTCATTTGATAAGCAGGGAACTAAAGGAGTAGGTGATGAGAAAGAGATAGAAAAATCTAGAAATAATCCAAACTTCTGGAAATGAGAGAAGATATGTCTGACAGAATCAGTGTTACTGGTCCTTCTTAACGGATAAGAAGTTACCACCTGAACCATATTTTTTCTAGAAATTTCCATTCAGGCTGTTGAGAGTCTTTGTTTTGCATCGCTTTTCCTCTGTGAGAGCCTATCTCTAATTTTCAGTGCAGTGGACAGGAACGTAAAATTCTTTGGACAGAATTGTGACATATTATATTTATAGTGGGTTTAGGTAGAAAAAAAGAAATCCAGGTCAATTGTAGATTTGTTTCCTAATCCAATGTGATTTCTTTTTCTTTTTTTTCTTTATTTTTTGAGACAGAGTCTTGCTCTGTCGCCCAGGCTGGAGTGCAGTGGTGCGATCTCGGCTCACTGCAAGCTCCGCCTCCCGGGTTCACGCCATTCTCCTGCCTCAGCCTCCCAAGTAGCTGGGACTACAGGCGCCCGCCACCACACCTGGCCAATTTTTTGTATTTTTTTATTAGAGACGGGGTTTCACCGTGTTAGCCAGGATGGTCTCGATCTCCTGACCTCGTGATCCACCCGCCTCGGCCTCCCAAAGTGCTGGGATTACAGGCGTGAGCCACCGCGCCCGGCCCCAATGTGATTTTTAAGTTATCAGATTGTTTGACTCGTTGTAGTGTCAAACCCTATGGGTTATGTATTAATAGTTAGAATTGCTGAAATACAGATAGGGAAAAAACTCAACAACCCTGAAGAGTACAAGTAGGCTGAGAATGGGGATGAAGATTGACAGCAGCCACAAGGAAATGACTAATATTTTCTCAAATATTTTGGCTAGCTTCAGACTGGAGCTTGAGGGTAAACCCAGGGATTTATTCCTGAAGAAGTAAAAAATATAGGTAAGCCAAAAGAGGAAACGAATTAAAAGTGACCCATAATCCCATCCCAAGGATAACTGCTGCTAAATTTTCAGAGTATATATTAAAAAACAACAAAATCAGATCATAATATTCATATTGTCTTGCATAATATTTAAGTTAAAATAGGAAATTGCAAATATTTGAACATTTTCGACCCGCCAAACGATGACAACTTTCAAGTGGGTCCATTTAAAAGCTTTTTCCTCAGTGATGGATTGTGAACCTCTTTCCTTTTCAATAAATACGCATCCAAATTTATTTTTTAGGGACTCGTATATGGTTTAGGAACTATTTCAGTAAGTATTGAAGGTTCTGGTCACCTCAGCTCTTTTCACGATTGGATTTAGACCTATATATAGATGTCACAGTAGAATTAAAACTATTTGAACCAGCACCGTGGCTCACACCTGTTACCCCAGAACTTTAGGAGGCTTGAGGTCAGGTGGTTGAGACCAGCCTGGCCAACATGGTGAAACCCCATCTCTCGCTACTAACAATACAAAAATTAGCCGGGTGTGGTGGGAGGTGCTTGTAATCCAAGCTACTTGGGAGGCTAAGGCAGGAGAACTGCTGGAACCTGGGAGGCGGAGGTTGCAGTGAGTAGAGATTGTGCCACTGCACTCCAGCCTGGGCTACAGAGCGAAATTCTGTCTCAAAAATAAATAAATAAATAAATAAACAAAACAAAATAAAATGAAAACAATTTTTTGCTCTGGGAATAGAGCTTATTAAACAATTACTTAAAAATTTACTTTTTTCTCTTGCAATGAAATGATAGCCTCTTCCTACTGATCAATACTCCCTCCTCATAGTAAAAAGCTGAGACTGTCTTCTCAATTATTAGACAAGCAGGAAAATAGTTAAAGAGAATGTATCTTAAGAATGAGATATACAAAAGTACCTAGCTCAAACAATGACAATAATACAAGCAATATACTTAAAAACAACAACAACAAATCCCCAAAGCGACAAACAAAGAAACAAAAAAATAACCAATGAAGCACAGTACAGAATTCAAAGGCAGTTTGTTTCTTTAGGGGATTTCGGTGAAAAATGCAGTTGGTGGGACTACAGGGAACAGTTGATAACTGGCTGTGTTATGACTTGTGGGTCTCAAAAGTTTTGACTTCAAGACTCACACCCTTAGGGTGTTCGGACTCCCAGAGCAATATGTAATCGTGAATGTGTTTATATTAAATGTCATCTGACACATAATCCTGTCCTTGTTTTTCAGGGTTCCCCCCCCCCACTGCTATTAGGGCTGGAGTTGCCCATCTTTTCTATTGATGGATGCGTGTTTTTTTTTTCCTTTCAAGGATTCTATAGGGAAATTGCCTCTTCTTTTAATTACTCAGGTTATGAAAATACAATTTTCTTTTAAACTTTCCATTGCCATTGTAATCACTTTACATCTGCACAATCATCTGACTCAATTTTGTTCCCAATTCTTGTGTTCAAAATTAATAAATAGGAAAGATTTTAAAAGCCCACAGCAAAAGCAAACACACTTTAATGCTACCCCCATCCTTCAATTCCCACAAACACAGGGCTTGTAGGGTTAGCTGATCTCTGGGTTTTATTATTTTCCCCTCTCCTTTCTTTCTTTTTTAAAAAACTGTGCATGGAAAGCAAAAGTTTATTGGGGGCAAGGGTTCAATGACTATTTTTCCCTCGAACAAATTAATCTTGTATAACCTGCATTATAAAGGCTATTTTTAAAAAGAGGAGGAAATAATCATTGGGGCCTTATTTGGAACTCTTGTGGGTTTGAGCTCACATTTGCACCAGCCAGAGATTTTCAATTAGCAGTGCCTTAGAAAACAGGGACCCCTGCCTTTGTCAGTGTCCTGTGGAAGAAGAAGAGCAAATAGATTGGAAATGGTCTTATGGCTCAAGCTCCTGGGAAAATGTAACAGGTGTTACAGCTCAGCTGGGTGTGAGATTTATGAAAAAAGCCCACTCAGACTTTGCCCATAGAATTCTGCTTTCTAGCCAGGGCTTCAAGTAGGAAGAAACTAATGACTTCATTACCATCTCAATTCTGGGAAATGCCTGGTCCAGACCTGACTCATTAAAGGAAAGGTATAGCACTCTGGGTGACCTTACAAGATCAAAATGTTATTTAGAGCAATTCCATTAGTCAGGGCCATAAACCTGAAAGAACACACCCTTTAGGAATAACACTTTAGCCATAAAATAAGAAAACAAAAACAAAAACAAAAACAAAGCTCATACAAAAAAGGAGGGAGAAAGAAGGAAAAAAAAACATATTCTGTAATCATCATGCTTCACTATTTCCTCCACTCTTTGAAAAGCCTCCACTTCCAGCACTTCTTCCCCTCACTCTGTGTTGTGACACATTAAATAGCTCTTGTCGCTGTCCCATTTCCAATGGATTATAATGGGGGGGCGGGGTGAGGTGAAAGCCAGGAATGATGTCAAATTTCCAAACAGCACGAGATGAAATAAATCTCTTCTGTACTAATAGTACTTAATAGTACTAACAGTAGTAGTACTTAACTTGTATCAATTAACAGTAAATTTTTTATTAGATAAGTGGTTTTTAAATTAATCTGAAATGGGAAAAACATAGCACATGAGAGTCTGTCTCCTGTCCTATTTATCCTTACAAACAATCCTTCGGAGCCATTGTATTGCGTTTTATTTCACATTGCTACTCCACTGAAAGAGAACTTGGCCAGTCAAATGCAATTTCAGTAACCTTCTCACAGTCTATTTATCTCCAAATGCCAGGCCCCTAGTGGGGGGTCCTCCACCTCCATATGACTCATGTTTATTATGTTCCCACATTCTCTGCTTTCCAGAACACCTTTGAGAAAAAAAAAATGTCAAAAGATAGATTGTTCATAAGACTGAAGCTATAAGGCTTGTGAACTTGCTTTGGAAAACCTAGCTATCCTGTACTACACCCCCATTCCTGAGAAAATAAACTTGACATTGAAGCCTCTAGTCATCATTTCTCTTATTCCTAGTAAAGTATGTGATGATGTCTTTCCAGTAGATCCGAGACTTCCTATGTCCTAGGGGACATGCTGCCCCTTGAACTAGAGCTAGTCACCAAGAAAGCATTAGGCTGGGTTGGTCTCACGCCATAGGAGTTAAAGCCAAATGGGGTGACCGTTGTTTGAGCAAAGTAATTTGGATAACAAAACTGCTGAGTATGGCAAAATTACCTATTAAGGATTTGTAACTATTGGTCATTACATATCAGATTAGTGCCTGCCCATCATCATGAGTATTAATTAGGGTTATAATATGATTTTTGGCTTATTGTAGGAACAACAAAGTGGCCTGTTTAGTGGTCAAAACAAATTGGTTATGATATTTGGGACATTATTTCAGGATGAGAGCTTTAGGGTAGAGATTAGAGAGTCCCTTAAAGAAACGTTTGTTTGACAGTAGACCATATTGCTACAGAAGGATGTCAAAGGAAATCTTGCAGAGATTTATTGGTACACCTATGACATTTCTCTCCTTCCCTTTTATTTTACTTCTACTCATTTCTCTCTTTTCCCAAGGTAAATATGTATGAATGAAAAGGTATAAAAAGCTTACGTGAGTAAATTTTACCACTTATCAATTAATTTCACCTGCAGCTCTTCACAACAGTTCCTGGAGGTAGACAGATGAGGAAACTAGGCTTAGATAATTTGTTATTTAGGCTTAAAACTCACATTTCCTGGTGATTCATCCAATGCTTTTGCATTGTCCTGAACTTCTGAGGAGAGTGGGGTATTAGGTCATGTTAACCATCTACGGTTTTGATGCAATTTTAAAAATACCTCTAAGCACTGTTCCATACGGCAATCCTTTTTTGTTTGTTTTTTGACAGTCTTGCTCTGTTGCCCAGGCTGTAGTGCAGTGGCATGATCATGGCTCACTGTAGCCTCAACCTCTCAGGCTCAAGCGATCTTCCTACCTCAGCCACCCAAGTAGCTGGGACCACAGGTGTGTGCCACCATGCCCAGCTAATTTAAAAAAAAAAAAAAAAAAAAAAAAATATATATATATATATATATATATATATATATAGTAGAGGGATCTCACTATGTTGTCCAGGCTGGTCTCCAACATCTGGACTACAGTGATCCTCCTGCCTCAGCTTCCCAAAGTGCTGGAATTACACACATGAGCCATCATGCCTGGTCAGCATTTAATAAATTCTTGATGATGACAGTAGATAAACTCTTTAAAAAATGGTTTTTACTTACTGTTTCTTCCTTAGGCTGTGTAGCAGGGTTTTGAGCTGAAAAATAGAGTGATTTTTAAGGGCGTCTGAGGGTTAGTGATTCATAAAATCCTTAAATGTCCAGTGGAACACATGAAGAGTAGGATCTCTGGCTTCAAAGGATAAGCAAGTAAGGGATGGAGTGCTTAGGTGGAGGAAAATGCTTTGATTGTAATGGGAACATCCTGAAGATGTCTTACTGGGAAATGCACCCTGTAAATCAGTGGCCCCCAACCTTTTTGGCACCAGGGATTGGTTTTGTGGAAGACAATTTTTCCATGGATCAGTGGAGGGGGGATTGTTTCAGGATGATTCAAGAGCATTACATTTATTGTGTACTTTATTTCTATTATTAATACATTGTAATATATAATGAAATAATTATACAACTCATTATAATGTAGAATGAGTAGGAGCCCTGAGCTTGTTTTCCTGAAACTAGATGGTCCCATCTGGAGGTGATGGGAGACAGTGACAGCTTATCAGGCATTAGATTCTTCTAAGAAGCATACAACCTAGATCCCTTGTATGTGTAGTTCACAATAGGGTTCACGCTCCTCTGAGAATTTAATGCCACCACTGATCTGACAGGGGGCAGTGCTCAGGCGGTAATGCAAGCAATGGGGAGCGGCTGTAAATACAGACGAAGCTTCATATGTGAGTTGCTTGCCTGCCACTCACCTTCTGCTCTGTGGCCTGGTTCCCAGTTCCTAACAGGTCACAGACTGGTACTATCTGTGGCCTGGGGGTTGAGGACCCCTACTGTAAATAACCATTAACACTCAGCTTTCCCTACTTCTGACTGTGAAAATTAAAAAAAAAAACAAAAACCAAAAACAAAAAACCCATCCTGGGAGGTGAGTGAGTGATCAGGAGCACTGGCAATACAACTAAGGTCTTTGCTGAGCAAGCAGAAAGCAGACACAGGGCTCAGCATCCTGGCTTAGGTTGTCACTTTCCCAGTGGAGAAAAAAGCCACAGGGCTTTGGACAACTTTTGAAGCTGATAAGACAGTGATAGAAGTATGGATAAGCTAGAGATGGAATAAAAGTCCAAGGGAGGTGGGAGGGAGAGAGAGAGAGAGAGAGAGAGAGAGACAAAACAAAAAGAAAATAAATGACAAATTGAGCTAGAAAAGTTGTTTGTTATTCAAACCTGAGGCAAACCTGGTTTATTAATAAATTAGGGACCTGATTAGGGACCTATTGTTATTAACTAAATAATAACACTCACTGTGTTTTGAAAGTTTGCACCAGCCCGAAGAAAATAGAGATAAGTAAGATACTCCCTTGGCTTGAAGGAGGCAAATGAGAGTTTGTAAAGCATGAACGATTGCACAGCACTATACCTGAAGGATTCACTTATTGTTGTGTATTGGGATGAGCTTCAGATTGGATTTTGCAGATCGGCTCACAAAATCTCAGATACATGGGCTAAGAGACTTAAGGCTTGTTCAAAATAAATGTGCAAAAAATGAAACATTAAGTGGAGGGTAGTAATATGTGGGCCCCATTCTCCTTCTGCTCAATGTTTCGTACCAGTCATAGAACCTTTCTGGTTCTCTGTAAAAACTGTGCCTCTGAGTCACAGAGTAAGCTATGCCTGCATAAGAATCACTTGACCATTTCCCAAAAATGGAAACCATGTCAATATGAGCTTCTTGGCATTTTTACTCTTGCTAATGATGTGTAATTAAGTAGCTCAAAATGATGCTATTGGTCAATTATCAGAATTGTGTTATGATTTTTAGAAGCAGGTTAGAGAATTTTTTAAAATGTATTATTTTAATTTCCACTGATACGCTGAATCTGAGTTGGTTTTTATTTTAGAAGTTGGCAGAAACAGAAACTGCTGTTATTTTAGATATTATTTCTACATTGGAATTTTGGTGACATAATCTAATCAAAGTGTTTGCTATATTTCCTTCATGCTCTTTTTTTATCCTCACTTGTCAATGTAAATGGTAAAACAACACATTGAAACTGAAGTTTTATTCTAGTGTCCATTTAATGTTATTTGACCTAACTTTTCTACAGTTATCATTAGCTCAGATAATGAGGCACAAAGATAACAATATTTACATAGTGCCTTTTTCTCTGTGGTTTACAAAGCAGAGATTTAAAAGGCTTATTACATTTATATTCCTCTGTAAGTTTAGGACAACATTGTCAATCCTATTTTATAGATAAATAAACAGATACAGAAGTTAGACAGTTACATCCAATATTTTGATTCTTCTTGATTACTTTTAGTTCGTTTCTTAAAATAATAAAAAAGACTTAAAAACTATTTTCCATGAATTAAAGCATAAAGTAACCTATTTATATACATTTGGTTTTAGATTTTCCATTTATTTCGTAATAACAAGATGGCAATGAGAATGTCAAATCACAAACTCTTAGAGTAAATGGTTCAGATTATGAATGATTAAAAACTGTGAAACGTTGGGGGAGTGTTGAACAACCCAATAAATTCATATTATATTTTGTATTTCCTAGGTACTAGATATCTCATCAAAGCTCACTTTTGTGGAAAGCACTGATGAACTGTATTCAGGGGGAATTATGTCTGTACCCCATTTTCCATGAAACATCGTTGCATTCCAGACATGCTCCCTCTCAAACTGGGTTTTATGTTATTTGCTACATGCAAGGTTGTATGTAGGTGAAAAGACTGCCCAGTCCCTGAATCTTAGGAAGTGCTGAATGTGGTGTTCAAATCTTATTATTATAACCTAAGGTTCTCACGCCACTGTGGATCTGCAAAGGCCCAGGATTAGATAGCTGGGAGCAGGATTCTAGTAGCACTTGCAAAAAGAATCCTGAAGCAAAAGGAAGAGGGACCAAAATGATTAGGTTTTTGGTGGGTTGGTTTTTTTTTTTTTTAGTTTTTTTGTTTGTTTGTTTGTTTTTTGAGACGGAGTCTTGCTCTGTTGCCCAGGCTGGAGGGCAATGGCACGATCTCGGCTCACTACAAACTCTACCTCCAAGGTTCAAGCAATTCTCTGCCTCAGCCTCCCGAGTAGCTAAGATTACAGGTGACAGCCACCATGCCTGGCTAATTTTTTTTTTGTATTTTTTGTAGAGATGAGGTTTCACCATGTTGGCCAGGCTGGTCTTGAACTCCTGACCTCATGATCCGCCCACCTCAGCCTCCCAAAGTGCTGGGATTACAGGTGTGAGCCACCGCACCCGGCCAGTTATTTTCTTTTTATTCAATTTGGTCTTTCGTTTCTGCAACTTTGCATAAACTTGGCCATTTTGACTGCCTCTCTAGACTATCTCCAAATGATAAGGTTATGACTTGGTAACACATTATTAAACCCAACACATATCATCAGGTTAAGTGAAGTGTGCATACCCAATATCTTGAAAATATATTATAAATATTTTCCCAAAAAGTAATTGGGCAAGAGTGAGGTGGAGTGGAAATGACTCTTTGTAAACTGTCCATGCTCACAGCATGAATGTGTTCACATGGAAAAATGTCTATGTTTTTAATAGTATTAAATCTTCATAATTATTTTTCATTGTATAATTTTCATGTTCCTGAAATATGGTCAGTGGTTTTGTTGTATTTGAGTTCTGTAAATAAGAAAATAAAACATTTAAAAACTGATTATATAAAGAACATTTTTTAAAACTGAGATTTGCTATATCCAGTTGTCCTTATTTGCAGATGCAAATGTATACACAGGTTCTTTACCTGCCTGTTTGCTTCTCCTGGGAACTGTGGAGATGCCGATTATTTCAGATCTTGTTTGGAAAACTTATTGTTTAATTTGTGTTTTACTCAAATGAACTAAGCTTTGCTTAAATGATTGTTTTGGATCAGCTTTGTAACTAAGCTTATTACTGAAATCATAACCCATTCCTGTGTCTAGATGTGCGTGGAATTCTTCCATTCATTTGTGTCATTTCCTACATATGGTTATCTAGGGTAGACAGAGCGAAAAAGATTTAAAGTCTTCTGCAATGCTAGAAAGTAGCACGAAGCTATATTAGAATTTCAGCAATATAGATGTAGTTTTGTGTAAAGTATGGGGCTTTCATACTGAAGGTAAAAATGCTGAGATATATGTGAATTAGTGTGACTTTTGCTTAGGGGAAAGTTGGCAAGAGCAATCTCTTTCTTTCTTTTTTTTTTTTTGAGACGGAGTTTCGCTCTTGTTGCCCATGCTGGAGTGCAATGGCACGATCTCGGTTTACTGCAACCTCCGCCTCCCAGGTTCAAGGGATTCTCCTGCCTCAGCTTCCCGAGTAGCTGGGATTACAGGCATGCACCACCACGTCTAGCTGATTTTGTATTTTTAATAGAGACGGGGTTTCTCCATGTTTGTCAGGCTGGTCTTGAACTCCCGACCTCAGGTGATCTGCCAGCCTCAGCCTCCCAAAGTGCTGGGATTACAGGTGTGAGCCACCGCACCTGGCCAAGCAATCACTTTCTTGAAGTGTCACCGTTGATGATGAAAAGTAGAGAGTAAATTCCATATGTATTGTGAGACCACATCATGTCTAGAAAGGAGCATCCTGGATGGTCTGGCCCACAGGTCTAGCTTTGCACTTACTGGCTCTGTAATCCTAGAAAGACACTTTTTCTGAACCTTGGAATCATAAGCTCTTTGAACTATTTTTCTCATCTCTAATATGGGGAGATGAATTCTTATTTATCTCAGGGGAATTGTGGAGAACAAATGTACTCTATTGTACTGTGATGTACTATATAAAATGTGTTTTTATTACTGTATTATTTTGAGCTCAGACATGAGAAATGGAGTACAAGAAATGTAAAGTAATTCAAGTTTGCTACCAAATGTGGAAAAAGTGATTTTATTTCATTATATTCTTATAGTGTGCCTATTTTCTTTCACAGATCCAGCAGATAAGCCAGTACTTAATGCCAATAATTGCTCCAACTGGGGTGGAAAATGGATATTTATACTTCAAATTTGTGGATATCAGTTTTCCAGAAGGGGAAAACAGGATTGGCTCCTACTTCAGAAAATGATCTAGGGGTGAAGAGGTCCTTACTGGCCTTTTCCCCACTGAGTCCCAGCTGGTCTCCTGACAGGGGATTTTGGGGACCGATTCACCAATGTGTGACAGTATCCATGCATAAAGATGTGAACTGTCTTCTCCCCAAACTTTTAATCTATGTAAATGCAACGCTACATTCCAATGTATTTCTAAGACAGTTTTGCTCTATGCCAATCAGCAGATGAGCCGGGGCTCATTTTTTGTGGGGTCTGGCTCTTACCTGTTTCCTCTGAAATCCTATAAGATTTTATTTTTTCTTCTCTTGGACATATCACGTATTTCCTTGATTTCTACTTATCGCAGTAACTGTCTTTTCATTCACATTAAGGTAACTTTATATTGTGGAGTCAGACAGTTCTCTGTCTGCTACTTACCAACTGTCAGATCTTGTTTGAGCAAACGAATTATATTCTTTGAGCCTCAGTTTCTTTATCTATCAAACGGGGATAATTATTTCCAAGCTCAAAATGCTGTTGTAAGTATGAATTAGAATAATGAATATAAAATATGGTACATGCTAGTCATTCATAAGTTTTTCCTTAAAAGTAGACTGTTTCGTATTTATATTTATATCTCCCACAGTGCCTCAATCATAGTAGATGCTCAATAAATGTGACTCAATAAGCATGGTGGCTCTTTTTTTTTTTTCTGTACTTTAAGTTCTAGGGTACATGTGCACAATGTGCAGGTTTGTTACATATGCATACATGTGCCATGTTGGTGTGCTGCACCCATTAACTCGTCATTTACATTAGGTATATCTCCTAATGCTATCCCTCCCCCCTACCCCCACCCCACAACATGCCCTGGTGTGTGATGTTCCCCACCCTGTGTCCAAGGCGTAGTGGTTCTTGCCTGTAATCCCAGCTCTTTGGGAGGCCAAGGCAGGTGGATTACCTGAGGTCAGGAGTTCAAGAGCAGCCTGGCCAACATGGCAAAACCCCATCTCTACTAAAAATATAAAAATTAGCCAGGCTTGGTGACAGGTGCCTGTAATCCCAGACACAGGAGAATTGCTTGATCCCAGGAGGTGGATGTTGCAGTGAGCTGAGATCACGCCACTGTACACAGCCTGGGTGACAAAGTGAGACTCTGTCTCAAACAAACAAATAAATAAATGTCTGTTGAATGAAAGAATGATGATGACTTCTGGTAACCCCCGTCTATGCAGTGATAGTCTTCCTTTCTTAGTTATGAATAGATCATTTCTATGGGGATCTGTTTGACTGTACCATGGCTTCCACCCTTTCAGATTCCATGGACATCAAAATATTGTGCCCTAGTTTTTACTTACGACTTTGACACACCTGGGGCCAGTGAAGTAAGATATGGAAGAAAAATGCTGTGTCCCTTGGGACTGGAAAACTCAGCCACAGCCATCAGAAATTTCTGAAAATGCCAAGTAAATGTTGGTAATGAGGAAAACCTAACACACTCACTCAATGGCACTAGGTACAGCATTGTCTAAAAAAGAAAGACGTGAGATGTGCTAGGATCAAATTTATTTACATGGGTCTACCTCTGGACTCATAATTCACCAACCAATATACTCCAAACCCTTTCTGGAGGGACAGTTCTTTAACAGCATTTAAGGAAGTTGATGAGCATTTGGAGACTTCGTACATTTGCTAAGACTGAGATAGTCTCACGGCTGGTGTCATGAAACAGGAAAGCCCCCTTTAGGGTTTAGTGAGGTTCACTCTCCAAACTCATGGGATCAAATGGAAGTAAATCGGCTAAAGGCTTTTACAGAGTAACCAACATGTTTCCCCAAATTTTCACATGTAGCACAAAGAGACAAGAATGGAGTCACAACACTAGAACTTACTTTGTGATTGAAAAGTGTGGGATAGGGAATGAGGTGGTGAAAGTTACATGCTAGCATGCATGCTAAGCTGTCCGTTATTAGTCCATCAATTTCATGAAGGCTTCTCTGATCTTTGACTTCTGTTTTTCTCTCTCCAAACAAAAGAACCGTAAAATCTTGGGAATCCCTTGAATAGAGAGCCACAGTTGTTCTTAATAAAAATTACAGTAGAAGGATCATGGCAATGTATAGAGTCTGCCGATACTCATACTGTGGACATGAGTTTGATTTTTAAATGTGTAATTAAGGTAATTCAGAATGATGACGAACAGGAGAACTCCCGATAGGTGACACAAAGGCCTACTGGCATTCTCCTTCAAGTAAGGAAAGAAAAGTCTGTTTGGCATCGGTAGAGCGTTTGATGCCAAACAGGATGTCTCAGCATTATGATTCAGTAATTACTCTCACCATCTTTAAATAGAAACAAAACTTATTCTCAGTTACTGGTTAAGAATCTTCTAAGAATGAAGTTATATGACTAAAATGGTTGTCTATGCAATTGCTTCCAGACTCATCTAGGAAAGAACAGAGCATCTAATATTCAGGTCAGAGAATCTGCGTGACAAGGTGCCCCAAATTTGGGGCCAAGACCTAACTGTTTCTACTTAGTCACTTTTTATTTTATTTTATTTTATTTTATTTTATTTTATTTTATTTTTTTTGAGATAGAGTCTCGCTCTGTTGCCCAGGCTGGAGGGCCATGGGCCGATCTCAGCTCACTGCTGCCTCTGCCTCCCAGGTTGCAGCTATTCTCCTGCCTCAGCCGAATAGCTGGGATTATAGGCGCCCACCACCAAGCCCAGCCTAATGTTTTGTATTTTTAGTAAAGACATGTTTCGGCATGTTGGCCAGGCTGGTCTTGAACTCCTGGCCTCAGGTGATCCACCCACCTTGGCCTCCCCAAAGTGCTAGGATTACAGGCATGAGCCACCGCACCTGGCCTCAGTCACATTTTAAAACTAACTTAGCGTGCAATGAATACTCCTATATGTCCATTTTTTTTTTAAATCAGAGCCTGTGTCTACTGTAGAATCTATTCAACTGAAGGGTCTAACCTCTAATAACATCATGCTTTTTTGCCTACTCTAAGTTCTATATAAAATTTCCTCCAGTTTCTCTCCCCAACTATGGCCCCATCTCTCAAGGAGAGACCTGCTGAAAGCCTCGGACTCTAGGGCACTTTCCCATATGTTCAGCATCCTCACTCTACCACCAGCTTGTCCCCTCCAGGTCCATCCACAGTCCTGGTGCAGTCCGTGTTCTTCCTGCTACATTTGGGACCATTTCTCTGTGGAAGTAGAGAAATGCACTTCTGGGTTTCAAAAAGCAAAAGCTAGTATTTCTTCTGTCTCAGAAGCCTGTGCTTACTTTGAACCACAGTGATTAAAGATCCTAGGTGACCAGGGATACCTTGGGTTTAGACATGATATAGGTTAATTGACAAGATTTTCATAGTGGAGCAGAGACAGGAGAAACGATGGGAAATCATTGCAGCCATATGTGACTCTATGAAGCTGTTTGGCATCCATAGGCTTATGTCTGGAAGTTATTCATGTTTTTGTTTCCTTTTTTTTCTGAGATGGAGTTTCGCTCTTGTTGCCCAGGCTGGAATGTAGTTGCGCGATCTCGGCTCACTGCAACCTCCGCCTCCCGGGTTCAAGTGATTCTCCTGCCTCAGGCTCTCAAGTAACTGGGATTACAGGTGTCCGCCACCACGCCTGGCTAATTTGTTGTCTTTTTAGTAGAGATTGGGTTTCACCATGTTGGCCAGGCTGGTCTCGAACTCCTGACCTCAGGTAATCCACCCGCCTCGGCCTCCCAAAGTGCTAGGATTACAGGCCTGAGCCACCGCGCCCGGCCCATTGTTTCCTTAGAATGATTATACAAAATATATTCTTTGTGATAGCTGAAATAACACAAAGACTGCTACATATTTTAGCAATAATACTAAACTTTAAGCAAAACATATTTGACAATATAAAGAATAAATAACATATTTATTCTTAATATTAATTGTGAATGAACAATAGTGATCATTATTACCAGCAATACATTATTTAAGTCATAAAAACCAACATTTACTACTTCATGCCCTGCACTGTACCAAGCGCATCACACATATTGTCTTATTTAATATTCATAATAAGTCCATATGGCTATTATTATTATGACTACTACCCCTCATTTCCAGATGAGGAGGTTAAAGTATACAGAGTTTAAATTAAATGCCAAGGTCCGGCCCCTTTAAAATGCATGAGCCAGGGATCAGACAGAAGCATTATGGTAGCAGAGCCTTTACTCTGAATCTCTGGGCCATTGATAGCCAGGCAGAGCATTTTCAGAGTGATTTCTGTGCTTAAGGATTTTTTGATGCACAAAATACAAAAAGACAGGACAAATGAAGTCTGTGTCTTTGTGACTTGTCCTCCTGTAACCTTAACTGAATGGTTCTAATACAAGACTTTTTAAATTCTGGGCTTGAGATATAAAAAGCCAGTATTATTATTATCATTATTTATTTATTTATTTTTCTTTGAGACAGAGTCTCTCTCTGTCATCCAGGCTGGAGTGCAGTGGTGCGATCTCGGCTCACTGCAAGCTCTGCCTCCTGGGTTCACGCCATTCTCCTGCCTCAGCCTCCCGAGTAGCTGGGACTACAGGCGCCCGCCACCACACCCAGCTAATTTTTTGTATTTTTAGTGGAGACGGGGTTTCACTGTGTTAGCCAGGGTTGTCTTGATCTCCTGACCTCATGATCCACCCACCTCGGCCTCCCAAAGTGCAGGGATTACAGGCGTGAGCCACTGCGCCCGGCCAAAGCCAATATTATTAAGGGGGTGACGATTCATTACAAATCTGTACCTCATCAAATCAGGATATTTAAGCGTAATGTAACTTGCGTGAGTTTCCGTGTGACTTCTCTGCTCCACATTTATTGTGTGGCCTCCCCGACATGGGGGTCCTCTACCAAGATCTGGCTTGTAGGGGCTACAGTGCTCTGAGAAACAGTATCATCAATTGCGTAAAGGAAGGCAGGGAGTCCAAATCTGGACAGAAATGCATTGAAATGACCAAGGCAATGGTAACTAGTGACAAAAGAGAAGAAGCTGGGTAGTCAGGAACTGTTGGAGACGTTGGAGATGTTTACGGAATCTTGATTACTTCCCGTCTACGAGGATAAAGGGTTTGTTCTGAAGGATAGAAAACTGGTTTTCTATCTTGATTCTGCATATACAAAGACACTTCCTGCGGTGTTTGTTTATTCCTTTGGCTTTGTTCTCAAACTACAGACCAAGATGATTTTTTCCTTGATATATAATTTTCAATTAATACCACCTGTCGCCATCCTATAACACCACCTGTCCCCATCCTACATTGGCTCTTATTTCTCCCTATAGTCTCCAGACACCCCCACCAATCTCCAAGTTGCCATGTGGAATGACACAGTAAAGTTGTTTGGAATAGCATGATTTTTTTTTTAATTAACTTTAAGTTTTAGGGTGCATGTGCACATTGTGCAGGTTAGTTACATATGTATACATGTGCCATGCTGGTGCACTGCACCCACTAACTCGTCATCTAGCATTAGGTATATCTCCCGATGCTATCCCTCCCCCCTCCCCCCACCCCACAACAGTCCCCAGAGTGTGATATTCCCCTTCCTGTGTCCATGTGATATTGTTCAATTCCCACCTATGAGTGAGAATATGCGGTGTTTGGTTTTTTGTTCTTGCGATAGTTTACTGAGAATGATGATTTCCAATTTCATCCATGTCCCTACAAAGGACATGAACTCATCATTTTTCATGGCTGCATAGTATTCCATGGTGTATATGTGCCACATTTTCTTAATCCAGTCTATCATTGTTGGACATTTGGGTTGGTTCCAAGTCTTTGCTATTGTGAATAATGCCTCAATAAACATATGTGTGCATGTGTCTTCACAACAGCATGATCTATAGTCCTTTGGGTATATACCCAGTAATGGGATGGCTGGGTCAAATGGTATTTCTAGTTCTAGATCCCTGAGGAATCGCCACACTGACTTCCACAATGGGTGAACTAGTTTACAGTCCCACCAACAGTGTAAAAGTGTTCCTATTTCTCCACATCCTCTCCAGCACCTGTTGTTTCCTGACTTTTTAATGATTGCCATGGAATAGCATGATTTTTAAAACTATAAACCAATGTATCTGGTTTTATTGTTACCAAATCTCATTCTCCTTTTGTGCTACATTTAGATGTTGGAGGGGAGAACAGCTGTGCCATCAGTGGAAGGGTGGCTGCTGGGCTGGTTCACATGGCTGCAGCCCCCCAAGGTCAAATCAGATACTGAGACTGAAAAGCAGAGATGTTCTGGTAGGAAACAAGACAGGATAGGAAACAAAATAGCCAAAAGGCCCAAGTGGTGGAAATGAGTATTTCCAGTCTATCCTAAGTGCCTTCACATGGCTTCAGTTGTTGAAACCTATGTTCTCATAGGTTGGAAATTCAGGTCAGAAGAGGTCTGCACCTCAGTAGAGTAGGCCACTGAAGAGCTCATTTAAACAAACTTCTCTCCTTCAGAGTTCCCAGTGTGGGAGATCGCCACTTACTCATTATGCACATAATATTATCCAATATATACATATTGTATATTACGTAGTATATATACCACATTTATAATATACACTAATATATCACCTTTATCAACTATAATAACACATTTATAATCAATAATTATAATTATTAATATAAAATAATTAACACATATTACTAGTATATAAAATATATTCTATTTATGTATAAATATTTATATGTGATATTAATATAGACATATTTATGTATATATTGTATTAATAGGTATCCATCTATACAGCTATTACATATATATACCATCTATCAACATGTATATACATATGCACATACATAGAGATGGCATAGGAAATATGTCTTTGGACTGAATTTCTGCCTTGTCCCTTGATTTAGTCTCTCTTTCCCTAATCCTGGACTAGTGGAGAATTTTTTCGAGAATGTAAAATAAACTCTTTGTACTTCCTTTAAATTCCAGCAAGAGTTTGATTTATTATGAAGCAGAAAAGTCATTTAATTTTTTATTTGAATTTGATACTATGGCTATCATGAAACAAGTGTTTAGCAAAGGCAAAAATCGCAACTACATAGATTTTGTATATTTGTTTATGGTTTTGGATGTAAATCAAAGTTAATTTTTGGGTAGAATTTGAGCACTGGCTAAATGACGTGCTATGTATCGTCTTGCTTATCTGTTTGTGCACACAAGTAGAAAGCTTGTCACTTTTCACAATACATAGGGTACTGATATTTTGTTATGTGGATTATACTTACAGAAGCTGTTTGGAAACCTTCTTAGCAGTTTGAAAGTATGAGTCCATATTTTTAAAAATTGAATGACTTTTTACCTTAACCACTGATAATTTTTGTATTCTTCCGATATTCAACAAAAATTCACAAATAGCATTCAAGTAAAAACAAAACAAAACAAGAAATCATTGCATAAGGAGAAAACATATGCTGAGCACTTTTTACAAAAGTAATAAGCAGGTCTCTTTTAAGAGTTTCATTACAGTAAAATAGATTTTTTTTCCCCTATACCTACTGAGACACTAGCAGTTTGAGACTCCTGAATTATATTATGTTTGATAATTTCCTGTTGCATTAGTGAGTTTCCATTTGGTTATACACATTTCCTGATAAAGCACCATTATTCCTATGGCTATGAGGAAAGTATAATCTGATTATGTAGCCACTTTTATTATAACTGTAGCTAATGTGATAATATACACCATGTTATTACAGAAATGTTTTGTGGTGTTTTCACTTTTGAAAAAGGGCTGACAGGCTCAGAGAACGAACAGGAGAGACAAGGAAGATTGGAACAGATCAACAAAGTATGCCCTTGATAAAGCATGTCGACCCCACAGTTGTGTAATGCAATTTATTCTCCTGGGAAGAATGAAGAAAACGGGGGGCTGTTCCTCTTGTCACAAATCAGGAAGACACACTGTGTCTGAAGGCAGAAATCACCTGTCTCTTGTGTCTGGGAGGAAACCTGTCAACAGGGTAGGCAATGAAGATTAGCTCATTAGACCAGATCGGTTCTCTCACTGAGACAGAGTACACCACTAAGTCATTCAAGTCCAACACATCTTACACCAACCAAGTATGATGCTATACGGTGTAAATACAACAGTGAGAAAAACAGGCTCCCTGTTTTTTAAGCAGCTTATGTCATTTAATAATGACAAGACAATGTCATGGGAGACGTGCAAACTAATAATTATAATGCATTGTAATGAATGCTATAAAAGAGGTTTTGACCAGATGTCTGGAAGGTGGAGTAGGAGCTCCAGGTGGGGAGGTAGCCAGGGGTGTGTCGGGCAGGGAGAGTGAGCATTGTGGTAGGAGCATGTGCAGAGGCATTGGGGTTGGCAGGCTAAAGCGAGATGTGAGGACATGACGTGCTCTGACAAATATTCTGAACGTTATTCCATGGTGGGGGTGGGGAAGGTGGCCCACAAAAGTTTTCAGGAAGAGCAATAATAGTTCAAATTTGTGTTCTGGAGTTTTGGAAAGATGAGCCTGGAAACAATGTGCAGGATGGGAAAGGAGGAGCAACTCCCTATTGAACAACTGGAAAGAGGAAAACCAGAAGAAAAGGGTGACCATCTAAACGAACGCCACATACCAGATTTGAGGAAAAGTGTATTTTTACAAATATATAAATGTATAAAAACATAAATATAAATCTGCAGATTGTTATCAGTTCTTAAGGTAAAATCAGTTGACTGCAGGAGTTGAAGGGAAAGCAGGATTGAAAGGAACTATGAGATTTCTGGCTTGGGTGACTAGGTAACTGGTTGGTTCCAGTAATTCATGAGGAAACAGCTTGGCCAATGGGTTTGATTTGAGATGTAGTAATTTTGAGGTAACTCCCAGGACATCCAGGTAGAGATGCCCAGAGATTACTAAATATATGCACTTGGAGCTCAAGAAACTTCTGAGTTCAGGGTATTGGTGGTAATTAGGGCTTGGGAAGTGGATGAAATAACTCACAGAGAGTAGAAGAAGGGGAGGAGAGGCCTGAGGTTGAAACTCTGGGAAGACAGATCTTCAGGCAGCACACAGGGAAGAACTAGTGAGGGAGACCAAGAAGTGGGCAGAGGGGAAGGAGGAGAAAAGAGAGGAAAAGGTTGGCCACGCACGGTGGCTCATGCCTGTAATCCCAGCACTTTGGGAGGCCGAGGCGGGCAGATCACAAGGTCAAGAGGTCGAAACCCATCTTAGCCAACATGGCGAAACCCCGTCTCTACTAAAAATACAAAAAATTGGCCAGGCGCAGTGGCTCATGCCTGTAATCCCAGCACTTTGGGAGGCCAAGGAGGGCGGATCACCTGAGGTCGGGAGTTTGAGACTAGCCTGACCAACATGGAGAAACCCCGTCTCTACTAAAAATACAAAATTAGCCAGGCGTGGTGGCACATGCCTGTAATCCCAGCTACTAGGGAGGCTGAGGCAAGAGAATCGCTTGAACCCAGTAGGTGGAGTTTGCAATGAGCTGAGATCGCGCCACTGCACTCCAGCCTGGTGACAGAGCAAGACTCTGTCTCCAAAAAAAAAAAAAAAAAAAAAAAAAAAAGAGGGAAAAAGGAAAAGGTAAAATGGTAGTTTAGAGAAGAGAGTTAGAGAGTTAGTTTCCAGATGAAAGATTCAACTATGTCAGAGACCCCTGGGAAATTAAGAAAAATAAAGACTGAGAAGGGTCTCTACATGGAAAATTAGGAGGAATCAGAGACAGTGGATGCAAAGTACTTTTTTCCAGAGGTGTGGTAGCAAAAGGAAGATATGCAGTAAGGAAGGGGTAAGGAAAGTTTATAGCTGGTGAGACCTGAGCTAGTGTGTACTGTGAGAAAACAAATAAGGTGTGATATAAGGATCAGCCTTGGACTGGGGAAGGATCGGTACTGATGTGGAACTAGAGTGGAAAAAAGGTATGTGGTCAAGTTCACATATATCTTTCTTCTGTGATACCAAGTAATTCATCTGAGTCCACTTGTATGTGAAAGCATGCCTCTTTGTGGCCACAGAATGACTCAACTCAGCGTAGTCATCTTGTGAAGATGTATTACTGTTCATAACAATTTCTAAGTGAGGGATGTGGAAAAATCACCACAAACACATCAGCAATGTAACAACAACAAAAACAAAACCGCAAACCCAAACCCCTTAACAGATGTTGTATTTTGATGAGTTAGCAGTATTGTATCATTTTAGTGTTCAAGAGATAGAAAAAAGGTGGTAAGACTTGAATTAACAGGTAACCTCCTTACCTGACACTGTATTCTACCTCACCTTTTTGAGAAAAAAAATCAAATAAAATAAGTATGGTATTATACTATGAAGTTTATAGAAATAAACAATGTAAAATATCCCTCCCTATATTCACTATATATCTACACCTGAAGTGCTAGATATATAGTGAAATTTTATTGAACGTGATGCTCTGAGGCACTGAAAAATATTGACTCATTAAAAATATCAAATTATGTTCAATTTCCTACATGGTAAGGAAAGGAAAACAAGACATTTAAAGATTTTCAATAGGGTTTGGATAAACATGTTTTTTTGACCTCAGGATAAGCAGAAAACCAAATTTACTGCATCTAACATGGGAATTATCCAGACTATAAGAAAATGGGCAAATGAGGAGACATTTCTCAAAAGAAGATATACAAATGGCCAAAAGGGCCGGGCACGGTGGCTCTTGCCTGTAATCCCAGCACTTTGGGAGGCCAAGGCAGGTGGATCACCTGAGGTCAGGAGTTCGAGACCAGCCTGACTAATATGGTGACACCCTGTCTCTACAAAAAATACAAAAATTAGCTGGGTGTGGTGGCATGTGCCTGTAGTCCGAGCTACTCAGGAGGCTGAACTGCTTGAACTCGGGAGGTGGAGGTTGCAGTGAGCCAAGATTGTGCCACTATACTCCAGCCTGGGTGACAGAGGGAGACTCTGCCTCAAAAAAACAAAAAACAAAGAAACAAACAAAAAAAAAACCAAATGGCCAACAGGTATATGAAAAAGTCCTTGACATTGCTAATCATCAGGAAAATGCAAATCAGAACTACAATGAAATATCATCTCATCCTACTTAGAATGGCTATTACCAAAAAGAAAAAAATTAACCAAGAATGCAGAGAAGGGAAAACTGTCATACACTGTTGGTGGGGATGTGAATTAATACAATTATTATGGAAAACAGTATGAAGTTTCCTCAAAAACTTCAGATAGAACTATCACATGATCCAGCAATCCAACTACTGGGTATATATCCAAAGTAAAGGAAATCAATATATCAAAGAGATATATACACTTCCATGTTTATTGTAGCACTACTCACAATAGCCAAGACATGAAATCAACCTGTGTGCATGAATGGATGAATGGATAAAGAAAATGTGGTATGTAAATGTACACAATGGAATACTATTCAGTCATAAATAAGAACAAAATCCTGTCATTCAATGCAACATGGACGAGCTTGGAGGACATTACATTAAGTGAAATAAGCCAGGCACAGAACAACAAATATTGCATATTCTTAATCTTATACAGAAGCTAAAAAAAGTTTATTTTATAGAAGTAGAGAGTAGAACAGTGCTTACTAGAGGCTGGGAAGTGAGGGATAGCCAAAAGTTGGTTGATAAATACAAAATCACAGCTAGATAAAAGGAATAGGTTCTAGTGTTCTATAGTACTATAGGGTGACAGTAATTAACAATTTATTGTATATTTTCAAATAGCTAGAAGAGCAGATTTTGAATGTTTTCAACACAAAGAAATGATAAATGTTTGAAATGATGTATATGCTAATTACTCTGATTTTATTATTACTCATTGTATACTTATATTGAAATAACACTCTGTATCCCATAAATGTGTGCAATTATTATGTATCAATTAAAAATAATTGACACATAAGGCCAGTGACTCATGCCTGTAATCCCAGCACTTTGGGAGGCCAAGGCGGGTGGATTGCTTGAGGCCAGGAGTTTGAGACCAGCCTGGCCAACATAGTGAAACCCTGTCTCTACTAAAAATACAAAAATTAGCTGAGCATAGGGACGTGTGCCTGTAATCCCAGCTACTTGGGAGGCTGAGGCAGGAGAATCACTTCAACCCAGGAGGCAGAGGTTGCAGTGAGCCGAGATTGCACCACTGCACTTAATGTTAGCTCTTAATGAACCACTAGAAATTATGGAAATATCGTGCTTTATAAGGCAAAAAGTGGGTCAAATATATTAGAATTTGAAAATGTTTGTCTCTGCAGAAATGAACTCAATTCAAGCAAGTGTTCATTTGTAGATGTTATTTCTGATTCTGGTTTCAGCTGTGATGTATGACATTGATCATTCACCTGTATGAACCTCAGAATTCTTAGCCGTAATGCAAAATGTTTGTCGAAGATGATCTTCAAGGGCCTGTTCAGTTTTAAAGTGCCGTGTTTCTATATTATATGTAGTTAGCCAAGATTTTCCAATTCAGGTTTCTCTCTCCTGGATCATTTCCTTCAGTTGTCAAATATTCTTAAAAAATATCTCCCATTAAATTTTTTTTCCTCTGTTTACCTCCAGCAACCACAACTTCTCAGAGCAAAACATTTTTGATTGGGTTGTCTATGTTGGTTGTCTCTACGTCTTCACTTTTCATACTGACTTCAAACCCTCTCCAGTAGGGCTCCCATCCACACAACTTCACTGAAACCACTCTTGTCAAGACTAAGAATAATCTTCATTTTGGCAAATCCCTTGGTCAGTTCTCCATCTGTATCTCATTCATTCAATCTGTTTAGCTGTTCTCTCCTATATGAAACAATTATTTCTGTAATCTTTTATGCACCACGCTTGCCTCCTGTTTTCTCCTATCTCACTGGACAGAATCCCCTGCTGGCTATTCTTCCCATTCTCTAAACCAGTGTGTCCAATAGAAATATGACACGAGCCACATATGTGATATTCAGTATCCTAGTATTTAATTTACATGTTAAAAATGTAAAAAATCAATAAAATTGATTTTAATATTATATGTAATTCAATATATACAAATACTGTAATTTCAATAAGTAATCGATATAATTGAGATACTTTGCATTCTTCTTTTAAAAATAAATACTTAAGTTTTCAAAATCCTGTGACTTAACCGTACATCTCAGTTGGGATGAGCATATTTCAAAAGTTCTAAAATAGCCACATATGGCTGCCATATTGGACAGTGAGGTTCTGAATGTTGGATGGCCCAGGGCTTCCATATTGGACAGTGAGGTTCTGAATGTTGGATGGCCCAGGGCTCAATCCTGGAGCCTCTCCTATTTTCTGTCTACAGCCTTTCTCTCTGGTTAACCTGGCTGAGTATCTATTATCTATATGCTGCCTCAGTCATTCAATAAGTGTGTACTGAGTGCCTAATATGTATCAGGGTACCGTGTTTTTGGTACCAGAGGATAAAATAGTAAACAAAATAGTCATAAATCCCCACCCTAAGGGAGACTACTTTCTACTAAGACGGAGACGGACAATAAATAAAATAACTGAGTTAATTATACAGTACAACAGATGGTGAAAACTGCTACAGTAGGAACAGAAAAGTGTGAAGCAGTGTTAGAGAGACAAAGAGGGGGCTTTTTTGTGGACTATTGGAAGGACTTTGGGTTTTACTGTGTCAAGATGGGGAGTCATTATATGGCTTTAAGTAGAGGAAATACCTGGTATGATTTTCATGATAAATGAACATCAGGTTGTGAAGATCATTTTGGCTGCTGTTTTGAGAATATATAATAGAAGTGACAAGAGTGGGCGGAGGACATTGTAAACAGTAGGAGGCTGTTGCAATACTCTAGACTGCAGATGATAGTGGCTTTGACCTGTTACTAGGGCAAGTGGTGAGAAGTCAGATTCTGAAAGAAGTAGTTCAGGCCAAATACATAAAGATGGGAATCATCAATACATACCTAATTTGTCAAATAGGATAGCCACCTGCCACATATGGCTATTTAAATTTAAGCCAATTAAAATAAAATAAAATTAAAATTCAGTTCCTCAGCCACACCAGCCTAACCTGATTTGAGATGCTCAATACGCACACGTGGCTGGTGGCTGCTGTATTGGACAGTGCAGATTTAGAGTATTTTCATCTTCACAGAAAGTTTTTTTTGGCAGTGCTCAGACACATGACATTTAGTGTTCTGGCTTCTTTGCAAATCAACTGCCTGCTGGATTCGTCCACTTACAAATTAGGTTAATGTTATATTAATATATGTCCAATAAGCATCTCATACATAACATGGTCAGTATTTTTGTGCCAGTCTTCAGCTCTATGGTTTCCATTCCCCAGCCTGTATTCCCTTCATTTTCTCCATCCTGGGAAATGGAATCATCATCTGTACTGTCGTCCCAAACTAGGGGGTTCCTGATTCCTCTTTGTCTCCCCACCCATCCTCATCACTTTCAATCCATTAGCAGGTTGATTTGCTTCTACCTCTAATACGTGTCCTGACTATGACCATCTCTGAGCATCTCCACTTCTATCACTCTGATAAAAGCTACCAGCATCTCTCACTTGGATAATGGTGACAGCTTCTAAGTTAGTGTTTTTTAACCCTGATTGTACATTAGAATCACCTGGGAATTGAAAACAACACCACGAAAAACAATGCCTAGGTGCTATTCCATGCAAACAGGTGGGACTTGGTTTTGCAAAATCTTTCCAGGTGATTCAAATGTGCAACCAGGGCTGAGGACCCCTTTCATCCTATCCTCCCCTCCACCTTCATTGTCTACCCTCTACAAAGGAGCTGTTTATCTCCAGCAGCTAGAAAAGAATTTGGCAGCAAATAAATATGTTTGGATGCTTTCTTCATTTGCTTCATTTAAGTTATAAAAGATCCTTTTAAAGTCTTCAGAGACAAGACAGTGACCACAATGATGATGAAGATGATTTATGGGGTGCTTGTACTATGTGCTAGGCACTGAGCTTTTTAATCCTGAAAATAGTCCCCTGAGATGGGCACAAAACACCCATTTTACAGATGAAAACACTGAGATTCAGCAAGGCTAAGTAACTGTTTTGGGGCCTCTAAGGTAATTAAGTGTGAGAACCCAGGTCTGCCTGAGGCCAAGTTCTGACTCCTAAGAACCAAACAAACAAAACACGTAGCCCTTAATAAATACTTATGAAGTAAATAGAATGAATAGCAACTGGTGCATTTTAGAGACTTGTCAAACACTGATATTTAGTTTATGGCTAAGAAAAACAAAAAACTGTCCTTTTTTTATCCCAATATTTTCTGCAGGGTCACTCCTGCATCTTTTCTGCTCCTGTGGAGGACTCAAGTGCTGCCCTGCATTCCTCTTTTTGCCAGTTATTTGTGCAACATGCAGTTTTAGCCTGAAGAATTCCATCTCCTAGCAGCTACCAGGGTTACTTGCAGCCTCAATGATCTTCCTTTGAGGAGAGGGAAAAAAATCCCCTAACTTTGTAATACAGTCCAGCGATGCATGAGAAGCCTTTGTGAAATCATGGGGGGAGAAAAGGAAAATAAAAATGCCGTTCTCCTCTGGAATGTCTCCTAGGACTAGTGAAAAATGCTAATTCTGACAGCAGAAAAATCATTTTAAAATCAAAGCACCTTTGAGTTATATTAGAAATGAGATTAAAATGAGAAGTGGTGAAAGAAAATAATTACATTCTTTCAATCTAGCAGCATCTTATCCCCCTCCAGCTCTGTTCTGGTTTATGATGCCCTAGATATTCTCCCAGGAATGATTTTCCCCGTGACTCCCGATAGACATGCTTTGTGTGCAGGTTGCATGGAAAGGTAGAGGGATGCATGGGCTCTCTGGATTCCCCCAGAATAGGCTGATGGGAGGTTGGAACCTTTTTTCTCCCTTGTTTAACAAAACCCCATAGCTCACTGTTTTTATTTTTAATTACTCCAAGATTAATGCGCGAAAGTGTGCTGATGCTATTAGCCTTCACTATACCGGCTGTATCTGAGTACTCCACGAGATCCAGTTAAAAGTGGGCCACAGCACTTATAAAAGATGGATTTTTCCTTAAGGGCGTGCGCGCGCGTACACACACACACCACACACACCACACACACACCGGAGCCCCTCACCCTGCAGTCTGGAACGCCCCTTTCCACCGCGAATGGGGCTCGTGGAGCCTGCAAAGGAGTCTGCCTTTGGTATGCGCTCTGGGAAAAGGGAGAGCCCTCGGGACGCGCTGTCACCAGGGACGCCTCGCTCCTGGCGCGCCGCTCCCACGTCCCCCGGCCTCCCCCGCCCTGAGTGTGGAAGTGGTGCTCATTCAGCCTTAGGGGGGCATTTCTGCATTCTTTTCCAACAAGATGACGGCCCTTCGCGGCGCCCCTTCCTCCGGCGCCTCTGCCAAGGAGCTGGGGGCGGGAGCCGCGCGCCCAGCCCGCGGCCCAGATGGCGGAGCAGCCCCGAGCGGGGACATTTTCTCAGGCTTTCAAAAAGAGCACTTTCTTTCCTGCCTAATATTTAGCTCCTTCAAATGCAAATGGAGAGGTTGCGCTCCAAGGTTAGCATAACAATTATGGGAAAGCTTTAAATCTGATGCGTTTGTTTACATGATGAAAGGCGGGCAGGATCCGAAAGCTCCAAGGCCCCGGCTTTTCAGCAACTATTTTCTAACTAGTCAACTGCGAGTCAATTTTAGATCACAAAGAAAACCAATTTATATCACGGTGTAGGCTAATTTTGGAGGGAGTTCCACATTATTATCAATTTTTTTTTTTCTTAAATGACCGCTGCTGGAAGAGTGATTTTTCCTTTTCCTTGGCGTCCTGAAGTTTGGTGTAAGCTAATTGGTGTTAGTGATAGGCAAGGAGGTCTTCATTACTGAGAACAATGCGAACCAGGGGATGGGGCGAACGCAGGTAAAGAGTTTTACGGAGAGTTGGTACGGTTTTAGCATAAAATGCATGAAAGCATCTTAGTTTGCCTGTCAAAGTTTATATTTTTTATTCGGCTTAGCTATTTTGGTATTTCAAAAAGGGTTGTGTGGTTTTAAATACTGCTGATGGGTATCAGACCTAGACTTCAGAGGAATGGCATTATCCCACTATGAAACCATTAATTTCTAGGCATCAACAGTGAGAACTGGGCAAAGCACATGAGATGTCTAAGATCTGCCAGGAAAAGGACCATGAAGGACTTGCCTGTGGTCAAGAATCTACATCTCAGGTCTTTTTTCCCCACTTCCTCTTTCCCTCTCTCCCTCCCTCCCTTCCGCTTCCGGTCCAGGAGACTTTTTCCAAACTTTCTTCCCGGGGGCCATCCTCTCACCTGTCATACACAGAAAAGTGAATTCTTGTTATCAGAAAGGGGCCCAATCCAGATCCCAAGAGAAGGCTCTTGGATCTCACACAAGAAAGTATTCCAGGCAAGTTTATTAAGAAAGCAAGTTTATTGAAAGCAAATCTGTTAAGAAAGCAAAGGAATAAAGAATGGCAACTCCACAGACAGAGCAGCAGCTTGGGCTGCTCCACGGATAATACTTAACAGTTATTTCTTGGTTATATGTTAAACAAGGGGTGTATTCTTCATGAGTCTTCTGGGAAAGGGGTGGACAGTTCCCGGAACTGAGGTTTCCTCCCCCTTTTAGACCATATAGGGTAGCTTCCTGATGTTGCCATGGCATCTGTAAACTGTCATGATGCTGTTGGGTGTGTCTTTTAGCATGCTAATGCATTATAATTAGCATATAATGAGCAGTGAGGACAACCAGAGGTCACTTTCTTTGCCATCTTGACTTTGGTGGGATTTGGTAGCTTCTTTTACCGCATGCTGTTTTATCAGCAAGGTCTTTATGACCTGTATCTTGTGCCGACCTCCCATCTCATCTTGTGAGTAATACCACCTGGGAATACAGCCCAGTGGGATCTCGGTCTTTTTTTACCCAACCCCTATTCAAGATGGAGTTGCTTTGGTTCAAATACCTCTGACACTCTTATTGAAATTCTGTGAGATCTCAGCCTATTAGCGTCCTTATCACTGGGAGACCCAGGAGGGGAATGAAGACCCTTGGGAGCTTATTGTCTATTGTCTTCATTGGCAATGTATTGGAAAATAGTTTATAAAACACCACTATTTACAATGCTGACTACTCTGAAAGTTTATAAGTGCATAGTATTTAACAATGTTTTCCCATTTGAGAGAGTATTTATGACCAACAGAAATATGCCATTTTCAATGTTAATATTCAGCCATAAAACCGTTTTTTTTTCTTGCAGTATTTGTACAGTTGAGCCGAAATGCCTGTTCTAACAAAGAGAGCCTGGGTAAGTGTGCATGCTCCATTGCCTGACAGGTATAAAGCAGTGGTTTTCAACTTCAATGTGCCGCAGAATCACTTGAAGAACTTCTAGCCTAAAAGAATCAAAGAACTATATAATTTCGAGAGAACACAAGATGCCAAAATTTTCCTAGTGTAGATGGCTCAATCAGTGTTGATTGAACTATCCACACTAGAAATTAAGTGAAATTGAGGGACTATTCTTAAATGTAAATATTTTTCTAATATAGGTTTTTAGAGATTGCTGACTTGATGTATTTAGGAACTCAAAGCAAATAGAGTCTTCTGGAGTAATAGATAAGCATTAGAAAACACTAGGTCTACCTGGCCGAATGAATGGATTCACAAAGGGGGGTGGTATATAAATGAAATATACTTAACTGATCTTGAAC
Source organism: Homo sapiens (assembly GCF_000001405.40). Classification (NCBI taxonomy): domain Eukaryota; kingdom Metazoa; phylum Chordata; class Mammalia; order Primates; family Hominidae; genus Homo; species Homo sapiens. The sequence continues at coordinate 19,689,420 of NC_000006.12, read as the reverse complement.
TACGTCGAGATCCACTGCACTGAAGATTCCCCTTGGCTCTCTTAGTAATCATGCCCCTGTTATCAGTTACTCTATGCTTTGGTCTCTTCTGGAGTGTTCCTTTTCTCTGAAACCCTTGACAAGCTCCTCTGATTAATGATTAAGGCAACTCTTCAAACCCAACTCCTCAAATAAGCCTTCAGGACAGAGAGGTTGATATTTTCTTTTTCTTTCTTTTTTTTCTTTTTTGAGACGGAGTCTTGCTCTGTCACCCAGGCTGGAGTGCAGTGGCACAATTTCAGCTCACTGCAAGCTCCGCCTTCCGGGTTCACGACATTCTCCTGCCTCAGCCTCCCGAGTAGCTGGGACTACAGGTGCCCGCCACCACGCCCAGCTAATTTTTTGTATTTTTTTAGTAGAGACAGGGTTTCACTGTGTTAGCCAGGATGGTCTTGATCTCCCGACCTCAGGATCCGCCCGCCTCGGCCTCCCAAAGTACTGGGATTATAGGCGTGAGCCACCGCACCCAGCCTGAGAGGCTGATATTTTCATGTGAGACCCTAACCATCCTGAAGTGAAATCTTACAACTCCTTTTCATTCATCTAACCATTTAATATAATAAAACATACTAATCTTCTGCTTCTGCTTAGTGTCTATATGAGTATGCTGATTTTTCCCATTTTGTTTTAAATTGTATATCCTGAAAGGGCTAGATATTTTCATTCCGACTTTTCATAATGCTTAGTATAGAGCCACACAGAAATAGATACATGAAAACAATAATTTTGATGATGATGCCTCATGAAGTAGCTTGGCATTAAGTTACTGTCTGTTTACATGCTACTAAGCTAAATGGATGAAATGTATCTTCTGTATAAAGCCTACTTTACCGCCGGCCCGGTAGCTCATGCCTGTAATCCCAGCACTTTAGGAGGCCCAGGCAGGCGGATCACCTGAGGTCAGGAGTTCAAGACCAGCCTGACCAACATGGAGAAACCCCGTCTATACTAAAAATACAAAAAATTAGCCAGGCATGGTGGCGCATGCCTGTAATCCCAGCTACTCAGGAGGCTGAGGCAGGAGAGTCGCTTGAACCTGGGAAGCGGAGGTTGTGGTGAGCCTAGATCGTGCCATTGCACTCCAGCCTGGGCAACAAGAGCAAAACTCTGTCTCAAAAACAAAACCAAAAAAACCCAAAACAACAACAAAAACAAAACAAAACAAACAAAAAACCTAGCGACTTGGCCATGGACACATGTCAGGCTAGTTGAGAGGCAAGTAGTAAAATTGTAGGAGATGTTTCACTCAAGTCATATTTTTATGTGCACTAAGGAAATATATAGCATGAGAAGTCTTATGTAAATCATTGTAAAATAAACAAACACCTATAATTTATCTTTCGTTTAATGGGTATCATAACATGCTGGAGAATAGTGATCTAGCAGACAAGGGATCCTCACCAATGACTGCCTTTGTGATTTTTGTGTTGAACATGAGAGGCAATGCTGTTGAAATATACAGTGTCCAGTAAGTCATTTGTTTCACCCTTTTCTCATTGACAGCAAGAGGAGTAGACAATCCTTCCAGTTCTTTCTGAATTATATGTATTGCATCTGCTTCGGTTTACTTAAACCACATTGTACATACACATGCAGTAGAGTCAGCATTGGTTTAAACAGGCAACTCTATTATGATAATATTGTCAACACCCATTAAAATTATTGTGATCTCCTCTCTATGTGTTACTGTCTCCTTGGATTTGTGGGAAACGCTCTGTTGATTGTTTTTCAGTGTAAAGGAGTCATTTTCTTTGAGCAACTGCTATTTCTACCTGAACATTCGAGTCATTGAGGAGACATTTAATTTAGGGACGGAGCAGATCTTCTTTACCCTTGCCATTATCCTGTGTCACAGCTGACTGCTTTAGTGCCAATAAAATGCTAAGGGCTCTGGTTTTACTGGGCAAAGCACTGAGTGTCAAAGTCATTCCTATTAAATATTAACATCATTTACTAAGAATATAATTAGAAATAAAATAAACTAGCCTATAAAATTTGTACCTTAATCATCCTCTGCTCTTGTTCAGGTATTGAAAAATTGTTTTCTTGTTCCTAAAGGTAGAGCTAGGAGTGAAGGTTTTAAGGGCATTAAACTACCACTGCAGAGAGACGGTGATAGTATTTTTTCCACAGGTATTTTGAAAGACCTGAGGTTTTTAGAGGTCAAATTACGAGGATGTCAAGAAATGTGTGTGTGAGTATGTGTGTGTATTTTGAGGTGAGGGAGGAAATGGAAGTGGGAAATTAGAGGGAAGAAACGGGAAAGTGATAGAATAAATAAGGATCTTGGGTATTTTCTAGTTCTGAAATAAAACCATGGATTGAATTCAATAGGTCAATTTTATGTAAATACAGTGTAGAGGGCAGATATCCAGAAATAACAGATTTTTATTCTCCAGAGGAAAAGGGAGAATTAACAAGAGCAGAAACTTCTGGAACAGGGTATTCCATATCCTTACTGATAAGAACAGTAAGCCTTGAATTTATTTACTTTGTATAACTGTTTTGTTTACCAGTTCTACTGCTGGTGGACATTTGGGTTGTTTCCATTTATTTTGCTATTATAAAAAATGCTGCTACAATCATTATTATACTTGTTTCTTGGCACACAGGTGCCACATCATCCCTAGGGCATCTTGCCTTTGTGATGCATTATTAATTTCTATTCTGTCTAGTCTATAATTTTTATTAACAAAATAGTAACCCCTAAACTGATTTCATGTGTTTGCACAGTAGAATTAAATTGGCACGTACTTCCTCAGCTTTGCACGATAATGGCAAAATTATTTTCTAAAAAGAAAACACTCCTACCACAGTGTATACGAGTTCCAGTTACTCTATATTCTTCCTAACACATTGTGTTGTCAGAATTTTAAATTTTGTCAACCTGAGGGTGGTACAATTTTACCTCATTTTGTTTTTTATTTTCCTTGCCTTGATTATTAATGAGGTTGATCATTTTTCATGTTTATTGGTCATTCATGTTTTGGTGTTTCCATATAGTTTGCTCCCCTTCTACTGAGCTATTTTTTTACTGATTATTAGGAATAATCTCACACTCCTCAGATGATGATATACATTACAAATAATCTTTATTACTCTTGTGGCTGGGATTTTCATTCTTCTTAAGATATCTTTTGATAAACTGAGGTTCTTAGGTTTCAATGACATCAACCACTTTTTTATGATTTTACTTTTTTTTGGTCTTATTTAAGATATCCTTCTATCAAAAAGACATCACATTCTTTTTTAAAAAGTGTTAAGCCCTCAATCAGTCTGAAACTGTTTTTTTGCCTATGATGTGAGGAGGAGGTCCAACTGCACTTTTTCTAAAGGGGTAACTGGTCATCCATGTTTTATTAAGCATTATTTATTAAGTGGCCCTTGCTTTCCTGTTGGTGTATGATGTTACTTCTATCATATGTTAGATTTGCATATATACCTGGGTCTATCTCATGGCCCTCAGTTGTGTTCTGTTAGTGTATTTCACTATATATGTCCTAATTCTACACCATCTTAATTAAGAATGGTTTGTTTGTGTTCACATCGGGGAGACGATGAACTCTTACTTGACGCTTCTTCATGAGCGTCTTGACTATTCTTGATCCTTTGCTCTTTCACGTACATTTTAGAATCAGCTTCATAGATTCCATATAAAGTCCTTTCTGAGTTTTGGTTGAAATTGCCATGGATCTGCAGTTCAATTGGAGGAGTTGACATATTCTTTGATATCACAATGTTGGATTTTCTAATCCATGAATATGATAAATCTCTCCATTTATTTATACTTTCTTTAAACAAAAGTTGATAATTTTCTCTTTAAAGGTCTCACATGGGTTTTGTTCTGGATACATAATATTTTGATGGCATTAGAAATGTGATATTTTAAATCCATTAAATGCTCTATGTATTGCTCTTCTATGGTAATGCGATTGACTTTTATGTATCAACTGTATCTAGCAACTTTATTGAATTGTCTTACTAAATTTGATAGTTTATCTATAGATTGACGGATTATTTTTTGAAGAGCATCTTGTAAGAAAAATAATATCATGTAAGAAAAATAATAATTTTATTATTTCCTTTCCTTATGACTTTAACTTTTCTTTTTTCTTTTTTTATGCCTTCCTCCTTCCCTGCCTCTCTTTTCTTATTTCCTTCTTTTCTTCTTCCCTTCTGCTGCTTCCTGTTTGTCTCCTACATCCACCGTATCTTTTTTTTTTTTTTTTTTTTTTTTTTGGTATTAGGACCTTCAGAATAGAGTTAATATAAAAGTGGTAATAGCATATGTCTTTCCAAGATTTTAAAAGGAGTTCTTTGGGCCGGGCGCGGTGGCTCACGCCTGTAATCCCAGCACTTCGGGAGGCCGAGGCGGGCGGATCACCGGAGGTCAGGAGTTCGAGACCAACCTGGCCAACATGGCGAAACCCCGTCTCTACTAAAAATACAAAAATTAGCTGGGCGTGGTGGCGGCTGCCTGTAATCCCACCTACTTGGGAGGCTGAGGCAGGAGAATCACTTGAACCCGGAAGGCAGAGGTTGCAGTGAACCGAGATTGCGCCACTGCACTCCAGTCTGGGCAGCGAGCAAGACTCCTTCTCAAAAAACAACAACAAAAAAGGAGTTCTTTTAATGTTTTACCATTAAGTATGATGTTTGTTGTAAAGTACGTATGTATGTGTAACTATATGAAGATAAGTTTTGACGAAGAGCTTAGGCTGTGTTTTTTTTTTTGAGACAGAATCTTGCTCTGTTGCCCAGGCCGGAGTGCAGTGGCACGATCTTGGCTCACTGAAACTTCCGCCTCCCGGGTTCAAGTGATTCTTGCCTCAGCCTCTCAAGTAGCTGGGATTACAGGGCACCTGCCACCACGCTGGCTCATATTTGTATTATTAGTAGAGACAGGGTTTCACCATGTTGGCCAGGCTGGTCTCAAACTCAAGTTTAGGCTGTTTAAAACTCAAGCATGAACATTGATTTTAATAAACGCTTTTTTCCCTATCTCTAATCATATTTGTCCTATAATTTTTAATATGGTAAATTATATTAATAAATTTTCTGAAGTTGAAGGAAATTTACATTTTTCAAGAAATTAAAATGGAATTTTAAATTTTGTATTGTAGCAGCAAAAAAGCACACAATAAAATTTACCATCTTAACCATTTCTAAGTGTACTCTCAGTAGTGTTAAATATGTCCACTTTGTTGTGCAACCCATCTCCAGAACTTTTTCATCTTGCAAAACTGAAATTCTATACCTATTAAACAACTCCCCATTTTTCCTGTTCCTCCAGTCCCTCTGGCAACTACCATTCTACTTTCTTCTGTTTCTTCCTAAAATTAAAATGGGACTATCATATGATCTGGCAATCCCACTGCAGGATATATTCCAAAGGAAATAAAATCAGTACGTTGTAGAGATATTTGCACTCCCATGTTCACTGCAGCATTATTCACAATAGCCAAGAGATGGAATCGATCTAAGGGTCCTTCAATGGGAGAATAAAGAAAATGTGGTATATACACACAATAGGACACTATTCAGCCTTACAAAAAAACCCCAAATTCTATCATTTGCGACAACATGGGTGAAACTGGAGGATGTTATGTTATGTGAAATAAGCTAGGCAAAGAAAGGCAAAATATCATGTGATCTCGCTTATATGTGGAATCTAAAAAAGTTAAACTCACAGAATTCGAGAGCAGAATGCGGGTTGTCAGGGGCTGGGTGGGCTGGGTAAATGTTAGTCAAAGGGTGTCAAGTTTCAGTTAAACAGGAGGAATAAGTTCAAAAGATCTATCGTGAAACATGGTGACTATAGTTAATAACAATGCATTCTCGAAAACTGTATTCTTGAAAATTGCTGAGAGTATAGTTTAAGTGTTCTCACCACACAAAAAAATAAGTATATGAGGTAATGCGTTTGTTAATTAGCTTGATTTAATCATTCCATAATGTATACAGATTTCAAAGCATAATGTTGTACACGATAAATATATGCAATTTTTAGTTGTCAAAAAACGAAAAAAGTTGTCAAAAAAAAAGAGAAAAGGAAAAATAAAAAGAATGAGATACAATCGTAATACTCTACCCCATCTAATTCTACTAAAGGCTGAAGAGACCAACATCTACCCAAAAGACCAGTAGTCCCCTAGTTTCCTCCTATGCCCAATCCATCCCAAAGGCCTTAGATGTATTAAAAGTTGCCTCTAATGTTACTTGTGTCTGAATTTGTGGAGGGGAAGTGAGGGGAGAATCATGCTTGTTACTTAATCTACCCCAATGCAGAGGTCATGTTGCTTTTATTGCCCATATAACTATAACTATATTACCAGTAACATTTCACAAAGTACTTTCTCCATAAATTACCTACATTTGAGCTGAAATGTACTTGTGAGTTACTTAATACCATCCCTGTTTATGTATAAAAGTTTATAACTAAACCAACATCACACAGCTGCCTAATAAAATCAGGCTTCAAACCTTAAAAAGATTTTTCCTTTAATAGTTTTAAAACTATTCATGTGGTCTATTTCTTCTTGAGTCCATCTTGCAAGCTAAGTAAAATATATTTTTTAAAGAATTTATAACTTTATTGGTAGAATAAACTTGATAATATTCTTTTACTATTTTTTTAATTGTTGGAGCCCCTGTAGTTATATACCCATTTCATTACAATATTGTTTATTTGTATGATGTCCCTATTAATCAAACTTGGCAGAGGTTTGTGAATTTAATAGTCTTTTTGAAAGGGCCAGCTTTGCATTTTTGATCCCCTATTGTATGTTTTAATTCTTTTTTATTTTCCACTTACTTTATTTGGGGCCATTCTATTTTTTTAATTTCTAAGTTTTTGCCTTAGTTCAGTATTTTTCAGTCTTTTCTTACTCATGATGTAGGCATTGAATGCATTAATTTTTTCTCTAAATATTTTATTACCGACATCACTGAGTTACTTACAAGTATATTTTTATTTTTCAAGTGTATGAGCATTTAATAAGTTTTCTGTGACTATAAATTTTTGTAATTATTATATTTTCATAAAAGAACATTTTATAATTTGCAAATGATCTACATGTGGTTTAAGAAAATGTGTTTTTTCCAATTATTAGAAATAATTTAATATAGTTTATAATATTGAGGATACAAATCGTGTTCTGTGTTCCTACTTATTTCTTTTTCTTTTCTTTTTTCTTTTTTTCTTTTTCTTTCTTTCTTTCTTTCTTTTTTTTTTTTTTTTTTTGAGACAGAGTCTTGCTCTGTCACCCAGACTGGAGTACAGTGGCATTATCTCAGTTCTCTGCAACCTCTTCCTCCTGGGTTAAAGCAATTCTGATGCCTCAGCCTCCCAAGTAGCTGGGACCACAGGTGCATGCCACCATGCCTGGCTAATTTTTGTATTTTCAGTAGAGACAGGGTTTCACCATGTTGGCCAGGCTGGTCTCAAACTCCTGGCCTCAAGTGATCCTCCCACCTTGGCCTCCCAAAGTGGTGGGACTAGAGGCATGAGCCACCATGCCTGGCTATCTTTGCTTATTTCTTAATGAGAAAGATGTTTTAAAATCTTACTATGAAAACAGATTTGTAAGTTTACCTTTGTAGTTCTCTCAAATTTCATCAAATTTCATGAATTTCATGAAATTCAATTTTCATATTGAAATTATATTTTGAGCATATACAAACTTAAATTATCATATCTTTCTGGTGAATTTAACCTTTTACACTATTGTGTTCTCTTTATCTCTAGAATTATTTTTTGTCATAAATTATATCATTTCTGACATTAGTTTTATATTTTATGTTGTCTAATGTAAACTGAATCAGTATATCTGAATTTTAATATATCTGAATATGTTATATGTGATATATATTTTAATATATCTGAATATACATATATTCAGATATACTAGAATTAAAATACATGTATTAAAATACATATATTCAGATATATTAAATATATTTGATGGCTGAATTTTTAAAAATCTAGCCTGAAACACCTTGACTTTTAACATGTGTAGTCCATTTAAGTTTACTGTGATTAGTCATACATTTGGATTTATTTCAAATGTGTTACTGTAAATCCTCTATTCTATTTTTACTCTAGTATTTGTTTTGACTTTAATCCTTACTCTGAATTTTTAATTTTATAATCTTAAACTAATTCTTCACTTGCCCAACAATGTAGTGACTTTAGAATAGTTGAATTCCCATTACTTTTCTGCTTTCTTATTTGACAAACATGGCTCACTGTAGCCTCGACCTCCTGGCCTGAAGCTATCCTCCCACCTCAGCAGGCCGCCTGGGTAGCTGGGACTACAGGTGTGCACCACCACACTTGGCTAAAGATATTGTTTTATATATTCAGGGTTGTTTATTAAAGATTAACCCATGTTCACTAGTTTCTTTTCTTGAGTTTCTCACCATTCTTTCTTGTCTCTTAGGCTTTACTTTTTTCCTCATTTTTATTTTTACTAAATTAAATCACATATGCATGTCTTTATTTAGCCTCTGTTAATAGTACAGACTCAAAGTCTTATTTGTTGCCTGTATTGTGCCCATATTCCTACACCATAATTTTACTGTCTATAAAATTGACATTTTTCAGTAGCACTTTTTGATATAATTTTGCTCTTTTCTGGCTTCTGTTATTACTGTTGAAAAGTCAGCTGCCTAATTATTTTTTAAAAAATTTGTTTTTAACCTCTGACTTCTTTTAAGGTCTTTTTATTGTCTTTGTTGCTCTGCAGGTTTTTCAATGTGTCCAGAGATAGATTTCTATTTATTTATTCTACTTAGGGTATATTGGGAATCTGAAAACTTGCATTTTTTCTTAATTCTAAAACAAACTTTAGCAAATTTCTTTGAATATTCTCTCCCGCATTCTTCTGTTATTTCTTTTATGCATGTCAGTTGATGAATATTAGATAACCTCTATTTATGGCCCACCTTTTTTTTTTTTAACCCTTCATTTCATATATTTTTTCCCTTTATCCTTCTGGACTTCATATTGTGTAATTTCCCCAGATCTACTTTCCAGTGCATTGATTTTGTCTTCAGCTTTGTCTTACCAGATGTTTAACTAGTTTATTAAAGTTTTGATTTCAATTATTATATATTTCATTTCTATATAATCTATGTGGTTATATTTCAAATATACCTCATTTAGTCTCCTCTTCTTCTGAAAGAATTTAAATGCCCTCTTATTTAAACATATTCAATATATTTAATTTACTTTTTATTATTTATCTGATTATTCCAGTATCTGTAGGTTTGTGGACCTAATTTGTTATTTATTATCCCTCCCAGCTCGAGCTAATAACAAATACACTGTTTTCTTTTTAGCTGTGAGAATTTAACTCTTGATTGTAGGATTCTTCTAGGCCTGAGTTGAAAGTGTTTCCTTTAAATTGAGATTCACCTTTGGTTTTACTCAGTTCTAGGAACCACTACCAATGAAGGACCATTTAAAAATAATTATCAGCTTAGAGTTTTAGGGTTAAATAGTATGAATTGTAGTCCCAATGCTACATGATTGAAATCTTAATGGAGACTTTCCCCCTCTATCCCAAGTCAAGGAAGAGATAGGCAAAGTTCTATATCTATATCACATATACCGTGTGTGTGTATGTGAGTGTGTTTCCTTAATTCACTGTACTTGTTCACAGGGAATGACTGTAGGCTTGGTCTTCTGACCTCTGTGAAAAAACAGACCATTAAAACTGAAGTTACCTGACATCGTGGTTTGGCGGAAGGTCCTAAGGCCACTATTAATTCCAGTGCTTGGTTAATTCTAGACTCAAGATTTCTGGATGTTTTCAGCCTTTGAGACTATCCACCACATGCGCGCGCACACACACACACACACACACACACACACACACAGAGTTCAGTTATATATTTAAATATTTAAAATATGTTAGTTCTATACCTGAAATATTTTCTTACTATATTTTGTTCTACCATACTCTCACACAAAGTTTTTTTTTTTAAGAAAATAATTACACAGTAAAAAGCTAATACTAAGGCTTATATTTGGTTATGTTATATGGGTTAGAAAAAATAATGACCTTTCAGGTACTGGTTTATATAATCACAGTTATAAAAACAAAAACATTTTCTAATAATATGAAGATCATTTTTTAAGCACATTATTATTGTTTTAGGAGTATAAGAAAGTGCGACAAGTTTGTTTTCAAGTACTATATTAAAGAGACAACCCTTAAGAATGACAAATGAACCTTTAAAAAAATTAAAGTTTTTCCAATTTGCTGACCACAGGGAGGACAATGCATTTAGCACTCTTACTTGACTAGAGAAAGCCAAGTCTATGTTCTAATTCCAAGAATCAAATTTTTATCTTGAGTGTTTTTTTGACCTCACTTCACTTACAATGGCTTGGGTTATATTTAATGTGTGGAACAGAGAGAAGGGATGAGAATGACTTTACCTGGTAAACTTGAATGTCTTGTTTCTTTAAAATTGACATTATTTATTATGAAGACAGGGTATCATTGCACTTGTTTGTAAGGATTTCTGAATGTTTGTGTTTATTTATTCATTGTGGGAAAGAAACATTTCTTTAAAAAAGAAAGCACTTTGACAATAAAAAAAAAGAAATCAGCTTTCATCCTGGGGAAATGGTGTGTATATCTGATTTCCTTTTAAGCAATTTCAGATTACTGGATATATTTATAATGGGTGGCGATTTTTAATCATTGAGGATAATAACCTCATGTTTTTTATTAGTTATTTGGCTTTAATAGGCCATTCAAGTAATGCTTTAGCTAATAGTTTTTTGTTTTTAGAGGGAAGGAAACAACATTTTGTTATTATTCAAGAAAACCATATTGCTTCTTAATGATCTGTTATCACTGAGTTTCTTGTGTTACCTTATTCTGCGTAGTGTCTGCCATTTGGTATTCAGAAGATTAATTATTATTTTTATAGAATTAATCATAAAGTTCTAGTTCAGATATACAGCAATCATTTGATGCTTTGGTCCTTATAGTCTTCTATTTAGAATAACCACAGTTTTAGCCTGTGCTGCTTTAATAGAAAGCATGCCATTTTGGCTACAAGACAAAATATCTATATTAATTATTTGAAAAGGAAAAATGCAAAATTGTAGTGAATTACTTTATAGCTTGAATTTAGTGGCTTGTTTTTTCCTCATGGTTATAGCTTTAGCATTGGAAATCTCCTTGTCCATCTTTGAGGGGGTAGACCGGGGTTTGGGATGGGCAGGATTGAGGATCATTATTTTTGGTCGGGGTTGGAACCTTGCCAGTGTGTGTCTGGGGAGTCACTGAGTCTCAGTTGCTTTGAATAAAGTGTTAACTTAGATTCCACTTTCACTTCATTTGGTAACAATACTTATTATCCCAGTGAAATTTTGATAATTTGCAGGGCTGCTAAAATACACAGGTTTTTATCTGGAGTTTTGATTGCTTCTTTTGTGAATTGTTCCATAGAGCAATGTTAATAGAGCACATGGTAATACTTTTCTTCAAATAAAAAAGTAGACCAAAAATATTGTGGCTTTAAAAAAACTAACCTTTGACCAATTTGGTTCTTTGGTTCTTTCATATTTGAAAAAGTACAAATGTTTGGACACAATGGCAATATGTGGAACAAAGTTATCATCAACCAGAACATAGTGGAATGTTGTTAGTGACCTCTCAGAAATAAAGTCTTACATATTGTGAAAAAACGCACAATGAGCTTAGCTAAAAGTAGCCCTTGTGAAAAGAAATAGGGTGCAAAGACAAAGTCATTGTCATATTTCTTTGTTACCACGGGTGGGAAGGCGGCAAGGAAGAGGTAAAAGGAGCAGCCTGGGCATGCCACACCATAAACTTGATACACTCACTAATGTTAATAATCTTTAAAAATGTCACAAATATAAGGATTCAGTCTTTTGTTACTTGATTTTTTTTTCAAGTTTCTTCTTCTTTCTTTCTTTCTTTTTTTTTTTTTTTGAGACATAGTCTCACTCTGTTGTCCAGGCTGGAGTGCAGTGGCACGATCTCGGCTCACTGCAAGCTCCGCCTCCTGGGTTCACGCCATACTCCTGCCTCAGCCTCCCGAGTAGCTGGGACTACAGGCGCCCGCCACCGCGCCTGGCTAATTTTTTGTATTTTTAGTAGAGACGGGGTTTCACCGTGTTAGCCAGGATGGTTTCCATCTCCTGACCTCATGATCCGCCCGCCTTGGACTCCCAAGGTGCTGGGATTACAGGTGTCAGCCACCGTGCCCGGCCTATTTCAATTGTTTTTAACATTAACTAGTCTTCAGAGCCACCAGGGGGTGGTGTGATGGGTCCCCCACCAGGGTACTTAAGGGTGTACGTCCGCTGCTTGTGTCTTGAAGGCTGGGTCATGAGCCAAGGCCATGGTGCCCAGCTCAGGAGCAGGTGTCCCTGAGAACCCAAACATCCCGGGGCATAGCTGGGAACATACCAAGGAAAACAGGGAAAACGGTCTCATCACACATGCACACGCAGAGTAGACAAAGAATCAGAAAATGAACTTAAAGTTGCTTAGAGATGGGAGGCTGTGCAACTCTTTTTTTTTTTTCTTTTTTTTTTTAGGCAGAGTCTCGTCCCGTCTGCCAGGCTGGAGTGCAGTGGTGTGATCTTGGCTCACGGCAATCTTCACCTCCCAGGTTGAAGCAATTCTGCCGCCTCAGCCTCTCGAGTAACTAGGATTACAGGCGTGTGCCACCACGCCCAGCGAATTTTGTGTTTTTAGTAGAGGCGGGGTTTCACCATGTTGGCCAGGCTGGTCTCAAACTCCTGACCTCAGGTGATTCACCCACCTTGGCCTCCCAATGTGCTGGGATTACAGGCATGAGCCACTGTGCCCGGCCACAGTGCAGCTCTCTAGAGGTATCCTGTTGCCACCGGGCAGTGCCCTATACATAAGACCTAATGAACTCATCTACTCACCAAGGAGTATATGAGTTATTACAGTCACAAGTTTTCTCATTCTTATTTTTTATTTTATTTTATTTTTTCTTTTTTCTGAGACGGAGTCTCGCTCTGTTGCCCAGGCTGGAGTGCAGTGGTACGATCGTCACTGAAAGCTTCCCCTCCTGGGTTCACGCCATTCTCCTGCCTCAGCCTCCCGAGTAGCTGGGACTACAGGCGCCCACCACCAGGCCTGGCTAATTTTTTCTATTTTTTAGTAGAGACGGGTTTTCAGCATGTTAGCCAGGATGGTCTCCATCTCCTGACCTCGTGATCCGCCCGCCTTGGCCTCCCAAAGTGCTGGGATTACAGGTGTGAGCCACCGTGCCTGGCCCCAAGTTTTCTCATTCTTAAAAATACATATGATATGCCAATGCCATTGAATCAGAATTTTTAGGACATCTGCATTTTTTAAAGTTTCTTCAGATAAATACGATAATTGTGACCCACTGGTCCATCGTCTATTAAATACCTCCTAAAATCTCTTCCTTTTGTTTGTAAATGAGTTCATGTCAGAAAAGCGATCAATTCAAGATATTTTCTCTCCCAATTAACTATTGATCTAACCTACGCATTGTAGGATTTTGCCACAGATGAGATATGCAACAGTAAATAATCTCCAAAACAAATTAAATTTTGATTCATTCTGCTGTCTAAAAAGACATAGGTAAGGAAAGACATAGTCCTGATTTTAAAAGCCAGTGAATCAAACACTTTGCTAAGGGTTATGGAGGCATCTATTGACTGTGTCCTTTCTATGCTTTCCCACACAAATTTATATTTCCTGTCAATTTTCTAAATAGAAAACAAAAGAGTTGTTTAGTAAACATCCTTGGGGTGTTCATGTAGATCCCTATTTAGCAGAAAACTTGTGAAGAAAATGCCCATTTTGTATAAGGCTCTGTATGTAGGAACTCAGTCATGACAGAAATACATTCTTGGAAAAATATAAACCCATATTCAAATGATTTTCAATTTTCTTTTTTTAGTGTATTCAGCTGGAACTCGTCAGCATTTCAAGGGAAAGAAGTCACTCACTAATTAATGCTGGAGGTGGTGAGTGAATGTGTGTGTGTGAGTGTACGTGCATGTGTAGGAGGATATAGAAATTAAGGGAGAGTAGGTTTTTACTTTATTTAATTCCCATACTACTTTTCTCAGATTTATATTTCTTTGTGATTAATTTTTCTCTGACACAGTAATAAGATCTGAGTTTTTTTCTCCAATCCCATGTTTATTTATTTGATTTAGAGACAACACAGCAAGTCCTGCTTTGTTCTTCTGTCATCTTAGTTGTAGGTCTATTGGATCTTTGATCAATTTAGTCTTTTTTATATTGGGTTTTCTCCAGATATTATAAATTGTAGCAGGTCATTTGGAATTAATATAGTTTATCACCTCAGTAGGTTCTAAATTAAGTTTCTTTAATAGTGCACAGGAAGTGTTTATGACCTTTAGAATGGGTCAATGATTACAGGTTTTAAGAGGTTCAGAAAGTCCAAGGAGACCTTCCCCTCAAACTATTCTGCTTAGAAAGGGAAGGGTCACCAGCCAGACCAGCAACAAAATTCCAAACAAAACAAAACAAACATACAAGAAAAAAACCCTCAGTGTTATTGGGAAGGTAAAGCAACAAGAACCCTCATGCATTGCTTGTGAGATGGAAACGCAGGAAAATTTTTGCTTGTGTCTAGTAAAGCTAAACATACATATACCCTATGAGTCAGTAATTTCACTCTTCTGTATATGTTCACCATAAATTCCTGCTGATGTGTATCAGAAGATATCTAACATTTTTCTTTTCTTTTTTTTTTTTCCTTTTCTTTTGAGGTAGAGTCTTGCTCTGTCACCCAGGCTGGAGTGCAGTGGTGCGATCTCAGCTCACTGCAACCTCTGCCTCCAGAGTTCAAGCAAATCTCCTGCCTCAGCCTCCCGAGTAGCTGGGACTACAGGCATGTAGCACCACGCCAGGATAATTTTTGTATTTTTTGTAGAGACTGGGTTTCACCGTGTTGTCCAGGCTGGCTTTGACCTCCTGACTGCAAGTAATCTGCCCACCTCGGCCTCCCAAAGTGTTGGGATTACAGGTGTCAGCCACCATGCCCAGCCTTAAGATTTTCGTTGCAATGGACCAAAATATATGTGTGTATGCATATGTGTATATATTAAAATGAGCCAAAATGCCCATCAACAATCAAATACGTGAGTTAATTATGACATACTCATGCTTTGGAGTAGTATGCAACTATAAAAATGAATAAATTACAAATACACAAGAAATGTGGATCTACCTTAAGGGCATAATATTGAACAAAAAAAGGCCAGACATGATATATCCTATGCAAATGGAATCACATCAATAAAACAGACATAATGTAATCATATTTTAGGCATGTATAATTATATATAAAATCTTTTTTTTTTCTTTTGAGACTGAATCTCACTCTGTCGCCCAGGTTGGAGTGCAGTGGCGCGATCTCGGCTCACTGCTAGCTCCGCCTTTCCGGGTTCACGCCATTCTCCTGCCTCAGCCTCCTGAGTAGCTGGCACAACAGGCGCCCGCCACCACGCCCGGCTAATTTTTTTGTATATTTAGTAGAGACGAGGTTTCACCGTGTTAGCCAGAATGGTCTCCATCTCCTGACCTCGTGATCTGCCCGCCTCAGCCTCCCAAAGTGCTGGGATTACAGGCGTGAGCCACGGCGCCCAGCGAATTATATATAAAATCTTAAAGAAAGCCAGGAAGCCAATAGATATTTCAGGGATACTGGTTACAGCTGCAGGAAGGGAGGCATTTATATCGAAGAAGTGGCAAGTCTGGGACTCTCTTATAGTATGTCTTGCCATGAGTGCCAGTTATGTTGCTGTGCATGTCAGTAGCTCATCAAGGTGTACATTTGTTTTAGGCACTTCTCCTTATGTATTATATTTGATAATTACAAATAAAGTACCTGAACTATGTTAAAAAAGAAAATGAAGACACAATCACATGTGTTGATAAAGGAAGTTTCAGGGTTTCACCTAAACTTACAAAAGCAAGGACAGACTCTGCTAATTGAACTTTGCTCTTCACTCCTCCTGGTGCACCTTGTTATTAGGGCACATGCGGCGAGCTGTGACATGCTGAGGAGCCCCCCTGCAATGGTTTCAGGGGGATGAAATAAGGTTGGAGAGGAAGCCTTACATCGGAATCTCATTACTTGGGTGAGGTTAAGTCAGACACTTCATGTTACCATAGCATAGTTGTGTGTGTGTTCATATGTTAATTCTATTCTAGTATAATGAGGGAAGTGCTGGAATTCAGCACCAGCCAAGTACCTAATGTGCCCTTCAACCCCTGACCATAATGAATATAAAATGCTGGTAGTAATAGATAGATTGAAATGAAAAACCCCTTCATCTTGGCATGTGAGAGATTTGCAATCACATTTGGATTCTCGAAGTGCTGTTTGATTGGAGATTAACATGTGGGTGGATTGACCTTTCTTGCAAGAGCCGTTGTTTTTACACTAGATGTGTGAAAAACAAATTTCAAAGAGCTGCCCTATTGTACTTCTTTTGTGATTCATATTATCACCCTTTTAGATTTCTCAGCAATAATGGTGCTTATTAAACTCACCGGGGCTTTTTTTTCCCCCTTAACTCTACTTAAACACTTTTTTTTTTGTCTTCCATAGGGGTGGAATTTTCTACCAACAGAAAAGTTTCTTCACATTCTTATACTGTCAACATATGGTTTCTTGATTGGCTTGTGTTTTAGTCCCAAGAATGTCTGCTTTAGAAATTAAGGGAAGCCCTGGGATATTTTGTATAGACATTTTTCACCAATTCCTAGGGAGGAAAACACCATATATTATTTTTATCAGCTTTAAAATTTATTGTTTACACATTTTCTTTCTTTCTTTTCGTTGAGGCAGAGGCTCACTCTGTTGCCCAGGCTGGAATGCAGTGGTGCGATCCCGGCTCACTGCAGCCTCCACCTGCCGGTTAGGCGATTCTCTTGCCTCAGCCTCGCGAGTAGCTGGGATCACAGGCCACACCCAGCTAATTTTTGTCTTTTTAGTAGACTTGGTTTCACCATGTTGGCCAGGCTGGTCTCGAACCCCAGGCCTTAAGTGATACACCCATCTTGGCCTCCAAAAGTGCTGGGATTACCAGAGTGATCCACTGTGCCAGGCCCATATTTTCTACATATAGATCTTTCTTTTGTCGTAGTTTTTTTCCCTTCATAAGTGTTTCCTACATGTTACCTTGTAAACCAAGATGTCAATTTTTCTTGTCACAGCTATCAAATTGCAACAAAGTAGATTTAGGTTCTTGTCAAATTCTAAAATTTTTTTAATTAAAAAAATTTTAAAGATGATCAAAATTGACCTACACTTTTAAATCTCTGAGCAGAAAAATTATCTGAAACTTTATATTTTGTACTCCCAGTGTGGATCAATTTATTTGAAGCTTTTTTGAGTTGAGATTGGGGTGTGGTTTGGGGAAGCAAATAATAGTTCTCGAAATTGAGGGCAAGTAATCATACCACTATTGATATATCTGATATTCCTCCATATTTTATGTAGGCTGAGATGTAACTTATTTTCCATTAGGTATGCTTTGTTTGGTTATAGATACAATCTTTATTTTTTAATTATTATTATTGTTTTTTTGAGATGGAGTCTTGCTCTGTCACCCAGGCTGGAGTGCAGTGGTACAATCTTGGCTCGCTGCAGCCTTTGCCTCCTGAGTTCAAGCAATTCTCCTGCCTCAGCCTCCCAAGTAACTGGGACCACAGTGAGTGCCATCACACCTGGCTAATTTTTGTATTTTTAGTAGAGATAGTGTTTCACCATGTTGGCCAGGCTGGTCTCGAACTTCTGACCTCAAGTGATCCATCCAGCTCGGCCTCCCAAAGTGCTGGGATTACAGGGGTGAGCCACAGTGCCTGGCCTTGGTTATAGATACAATCTTTATACTTGTAGCTGGTTTGAACTTATTTTAAATATTTGGAAGCTATTAAATAGTTCCTACTCAATGGAGTAATGAATGCCAGCACAAAAATCAAATACACATGAGGAATATTTACCCAATCAAATCAACTAATAAAGAGTAATATATCCCCTCTAGAAAGTTTAGACATTTTGATGTTAAGTGGTATCTTGTTCTGTTTCATACTAACATCTTCTTTTGAAGAATGGGATGGGGCAAAAGGGAATGTAAAAAGGCATTAAAATATTTAAATTTTAATTCCGGGGTCTAAGTTTCTTAAGTAGCATCTGTAAAGGAAGCCTTTCTGTTTTAATGTTTCCCCTGTATTATTCACGTCATTTTAAGGGCACACTACAAAATATGTTATTTCAATAGCCACATATTGAGTTTGTTCAAGAAGAATAGCTTTGAAAATCAACTTGTTTTTTCTTATTTTCTTTAAGGCTGACTTATAAAAGCAATATTCCCCTAGTTGGTTTCCCTCCTTTTCATAAGCTACCCAGGAAGAGATTTTGTGAGTCATGTTGCATTAAAAAATGGCCCTTGTTCCTTAAGTGTCATATGGACTAGAGCAGATACTGACTTTAAGTGGTCTTAGGAGCAGACTGATGGGACATTTGTACATTGAAAAGCTATCTCTGGGGATTTGTAGAAACTCTTATTCAGAAAATAGAAGTATGCACGTCCTTCAGGGTCACTGGGGAGTCTAAGCAAAATGCCATCCAACCAGTAGTGGCTGCCAAGAGTTATCCACACTTTTGCCATCCAGTAGAATATGAAACAAAGCTAGAGTAAGCAACTTCCTGTGGCCCTTCTGCTGCTCTCACAAAGTGGCTTTCTTAGATGATAGCCTTTGTCATGGGTAAACCTTACTTACTGTGGAGAGGAGACAAGTGATCTGCAAGTAGCATCAGGCTGAAATTCATCCTGGTTCCATCAAGATTTTTCAAAGTCAGAAGTTAAAATGCGGATGGACCTACTTGAAACTTTCTTAGCTGAAATATGGAGGATAAAATGTGGATGACACAAGCAGGCAAGATCTGGGAGGATTCTCATGCATCTCAACATCAATGGAACCACATTTGAAAACCGTATGAAAACCCAAGTACTAGACTGAGTTACTCACAAACAATGGGGCAAGTAAAGTTTTACAGGGGTTAGGGAGAGTGGTGAGTTATAGGAATGTAGGTAGTGTAGGGAGAAGAGAAATAGACTCAGAAGAGCATCTATTAACCCTGCTAACATAAACTTTGCTGATAATGAGCTTAAAGATACTCGAGATGATGTCTTCCCTGCCATGATTCAGTCTGGCTTCTCTAGGCAGTGCACATACATTGGTGTAGGTGACAAGGAGTGTTACACGAGAATACACAGCCACTTTGTAGTGCTGGCCAGCCAGATGAAAATGAGCTCTTGGTAATGCAGTATTGCTGTTGGGAATATCCCTGTTTCTGTCCTTGTGTGTGTATCTACATATAGTTAGATATCAACATAGACACATACACACAAATACACACACACTCACAAAAGACTTGGTGGCAGTACACGGAGATTTTCATGATGCTTAAGAAAAGTGGGCAGAACACACATACAATTTCCTTTTCCTGGGGTGCATATATGTCAGTGGCAGGGTGCCTGAGGTGCTAGGCCTGCTCTGCCCCTGTGGGTGAACTTGGGTGGTCTGTCTGAGGTGAAGGGCTTAGGTTGTGGGCTGGTGACCTATCTCAGCCTGTGCAGCTGACTAACAAGCAATTGTCTTCTAATCAAGTATTGAACTGCATCCAGGTATGTGGAAGGCTAGTCTACTTCCCCTCCAGGATTCAAGGCTCAAACAAGTTTCTCTTTGCTTTCTATGATGCATAAAAAGATTAAAAAAGAAATTCTGAAAGCTTGCTGGCACCTTCATCTGGAAGGAAGTACAGTAGGTCCTTAGAAAGATACTCACCTCTCTGTGCCCTCTGTGAGGGGTGTGAGCCCTGAGTCTGCAGGGGAGCAATGTGGTAAACAAAGGAGGAATTTTGGCAGTGAGAGTGCCAGTGACTGGAGGGAGTATATATGTCTTGCTCCCTCTGCCAGAAATTCCAGAACTTCCTTCCTCTAGTTCTGTGGCTGCAAAAATGAAAGCCAGAATAATGGGGCAGGAGGTGGATGTGGGGCTAAGGGATGGGACACTATTCATCTCCTTGCTTTGAGTATTAGCAGAAGAAAGTTGGGCACAACAACTGGGACTCCCTGGATGCTGGTTTTCATTAGAGCTACAGAAGATGTTTTACTTTGCGTCCTCTTTTAACTTGCAATCTGGCATATTCTAGCTCTGGATGTGTAAAATAACCTGGGGTAAATCAGTCTTAAGCAAAAATCTCCAAATGAATGACTTGTATTAGGGGCTTGCTGTTCTCTTTTATTTATTTTAATTTTTCAAATGCTTGTTACTCTGTCTGGTGCCACCCCAGTTTTTAGGATGACTAATGATTTCATGCAGCCAGGGATCCCTCCTCAGAGAGGTTGAAAACATCAGATTAAAAACAACCACAGCTATTTATAGGATGTGAAGATAGCTGAGTTTCTTGATAAAATCCAGAAGCATTTGCATTTTAAAAATGGAGACCTCATTGCTGAGAAATCCAGAGGAACAGACCTTTAAAAACAGATTGTTGGGTATTTTTATGTCTGGGCAAGGGAGATATTTTGGGGCAAGGAAAGCTTCTTAAATTATACCATTCTGGAATGCTGCCTTTATCTACTTGTAAGGTTAGTCCTAGTCATGGATAGGATGTATCCAGATGAATGGCATTGTTCGCTAGCAAAATGAGGCCATCAAAAGTGCCTGTGATTTTCCCACGGTCAGATGAAAGTTACTCTTAATCATTTAATTTTGCTTCTCATTTTATCAGCAGCCTCTAGAATGCTTTCCAGGGTTATTAAAATGATGATTAATTAAAACACAGGTAAGAGTTAATGAAATTTGAAAGGTGCTTGGGCATCATTGAGGCAGATGGTTCTAGGTACGGAGATTCTGAATGTAAGTCATCATCATTCCATCATCATCTTGATCACCACCATCACCATTGATAATAAACGTTAGCATTTAAATGGTACCTCTTTCCAGAGATTTCAGCATCTGACAGAAAATTTCCTTGTTCTCACAACATCCTGTTAATGACAGAAGGTGGTTGTGGTTTAAAAAATCGTGATGATTATCACCCACTAGGTCCTGGCTGTCTAGTCATGCTGGTGCGTGTTCTCTCTCCTTGACTTTGCTGTCCTTCTAGAGCTGTGTAGCAACAGTTCAGTGAATGGGCAGAACCTTGTCACCCTGACTCTGTGAAGAGCAGAGCTCTCTGTCCTCGTCAGTTGCCATTCACACTCATCTTGGGGGAACATTACACCTAATTCGTCTCAACTCATGCTGTTCATCTGTTGCCTCATTCCTTTTTCTCAGCAATTTGTCTTTTTCCCTTTCTTTCTCCCATCTTTCCTAGCATTCTACTGCCTCCCCTATCTCCATTCTCTATTCTCTTTCTATTTTCATTGGCCAGTTCATGTCTGTATTGTGCCTTAGTTTTCCCTGTCTTGGAAGCTTATACAAGATAAACTAGAGATGTAGAGATACGTGTGGGGAAACAGGTCTCTTTGACTTTCTTTTCTTTTCTTTTCTTTTTTTTTGAGACGGAGTCTCACTCTGTTGCCCAGGCTGCAGTGCAGTGGCGCGATCTTGGGCTCACTGCAACCTCTGCCTCCTGGGTTCAAGGAATTCTCCTGCCTCAGCCTCCTGAGTAGCTGGGATCACTGCCACGTTCCACCATACCGGCTAATTTTTGTATTTTTAGTAGAGACAGGGTTTCGCCATATTGGTCAGGCTGGTCTTGAACTCCTGACCTCGTGATCCGCCTGCCTTGGCCTCCCAGAGTGCTGGGATTACAGGCGTGAGCCACCATGCCCGGCCTGTTTGACTTTCAAGACTGGGGAATTAAGTATTTTGCTCTGTTTCTAGTGTACATGCTTTTATGTGTTGATACTTCTCAGCCTTTGGTGACTCTTAGCATGTTTTTAGTAACTTGGTTAGGTCACAGTGACTGATTTCTATTTTAGTTCAGCTCTCTTGTTCTCTGTCTATTAAAGTTCCATAGAAATTGGAGTGGGAGAGGAAATTTTGAGGGCTTCAAAGCAGAGTTTTGGCAGCATGTACATTCAAGGGAGGAGTAAGAAGGATTGTGGACTCTGCATGGTCAAGTGTGCATCCAAGCCATTGGAATAACAGACAACAGCTCACATGCATTGAGCACATGCTATCTGCTAAGCATGGTTGTAAGCACTTAATAAATAATAACTAATGTAGTTAGTAGGCATGGTCAACTCTGTATTATTAAATTACCTGTACTCTATGACTCCTTAGCTCCTGCCTTTTTGTATTTGTTTTTTTTCTCCAGTTTTCTCGGTAAAATTTCTTTTCCCTAATTTAAAATTCAGCATGCCTGAAATATGAAGACAAGGACCCATCCATACCTTGGATGAGATTGAGAAGGTCACTCCCTATAATCTGTTACAGTGGGATGGTGTTTCTGTGAAGGGCAAATTGAATTGCAACATTAAAGAATTACATTAGGCAGGAAAAGTGAGCCTTTCTCTATTTGAAATAGTCTTTCTAGTCTATAATTTTAATGTTTCTGAAGATGTTATAAAAAGAATTGTTCTTGCCTGGCACAGTAGCTGAGTCCCAGCTTCTCGGGAGTCTGAGAGGGGAGGATCACTTGAATTCAGGAGTTGGAGTCTAGCCTGGGCAACACAGTAAGACTGAGCCCCGCATCTCTAAAATAAATAAATAAATATATATATATATATATATATATATATATATATATATATATATGTATATTCTTTTGTAAAAATTGAATTTGTCCAGATGCTGATAGCCCCAGAAAAATTAGGAAGAATTGGTAAATCACTCAGGTAAAGTGATTCCTGTGGCTATGGATAGGTGGTACTGGTGGTGGGTTATAAATAAACGAATGACCCTGCTTTGCCTAGAGTTTATTCTGGCCACTTTCAAAGCAAATAACTTTTCTGCAGGCAAATTTTTTTACAGACATATTCATTTATGAGGAAAAGAAACATTTTCTGTAGATGGTCAGAAGTTGCAACATCCTCCTGTTTTGAGAAACGGTAAATCTAAAAAACATAAAACAAAACAAGCAGAAATCCACAGCACCTTTACAATCTAAGATTTTTTTTTTTCACATGATAGAAACTTGGTTCTCTTGGCCTCCATTAGGGAGGTGTTTTGATGTTCTCCTCTTTATTTCTTTTTAAAATAACCTTTTATATCCTAGTGCTTGTGAAAAATACCTTTGATTCTCACTTGACCTCTTCCACTGAATTGGAAAATTTGGTTCCATTCTCTTAGCAGGTAAATAGCCTTAAAACCATTCATGGTTTTGTCAGGGTAGAGAAGAGCTGAAAAGCATTACATATGTTCCAAGTTAAGAGAGGCCAATCTTGCTGTTTTCAAGTGGTTCCTTCCCCTCCCTTCTTCTATTAAGGGCTCAACCACAATGGAGCTTTAATCAGCTTCATTGATTTAAAGCTAATTTGCACTTGGCTTCAAGGTTAAGGTCCACAGCATAAGCTGAAGACCTTTAAATCAGAAGTCAGACTGAAAAGCCTTAGGTATATCATATTGTCTGCTGTGCATAAGAATGACAGCTCTTGATGACTGCAAATTAACTATTGGGGAAAAAGGCACAAAGCCAGTTTTTCTCCTGTGTTAATATAACCTCTGCTAGCCGAGTTTCACAGCATTGCTATCAACATTTCTGCTTCATCATGTAAATGGATGGAATTGGCTGAAAATACTTTGGTACTGTGATGTTTGTAGCCATCCATTTCTGCTTGGTTTCAGTTGGATTTCAACCTAATTGCCAAACTGATTCCATCTGTAATAACTTTTAACATTTATTTTTCCCAAAGGGAAAAAAAAATGTCTTGTCTGTATTCTGCAATTAAGAAGGTGATGAAATATTCAGTGTATGTCTCCACTCTGACTAAATTATTTTGTTAACTTTATCAGATAAACTATAAAATATTAACCAGGCTTACTGTTTGAGCATGTGCAGATGGCATAATATTTACCAGACATATTTTTAATACACATTTAATTTTATAAATTGAATTAACTATTACATGGCTAATTTTTTTCCTCTCTTTTCCAAATTGATGCAACAAGCATTCCTGTTGTTGGCTGTATGTACTACACTAGAACATTTGTGGATAATTACATAAGCTTAGCTGTGGTATAATAAATAACATTTCCTCCAAACTTAACCACATGAAATCAAATCAAGCAGAAATAATGCTATTTTCTAAGCAAAATTATGCTGAGTAGCAATATGTGGGTTCTTTGCTTTTTTTCTCTGACAGCTCAGTTTTTAAAATTTTCTGGAACATTTAAATGGGAAAGTTAATTTTACCCACCTCTCTTATCCGCCGTACAACTTGCTGTATATATCCATATCTGCTCTGCCATTCCCAAATGTACTAATATAATAGCCACATAATGCTTCACCTAAATTAGATTTTCTTAGAATGTGGTTTGGACTGAATCAAGGTCAAATTCTAAATCATGGCACACAGAGCCATGAAAACCTTTTTTTTTTTTTTTAAATAATTAATAAAAGTCTTGGTTATTGGTGAGCTGCTAAAATATCTAAATGGTTCTGAGCAGGGGAGCACTGATTCTTACAAGATTGTCCCTCATTCAGCATCATCAAAGAGCTAAAGATGGAGCTGGTAGGGAGAAAGACACATAAGGAAACATTACAATCCAGTGTGATACATGTTATACTAGAATTTCACTGTAGGGATTGGAGAAAGGAGGGCGGATAGCTAATTCTGAGAGTCAGGGATAGTGGTAAGGAGGACATAACAATTTGGCTAAGATTTAAATGTTTGCCCATTTGGATGAGGGGTGTGCAGTGTAGAAAGGACATTCGAAGCAGAGGGAATGGCCTGTGGGAAGTGGTGAATGTGTGACTACCACGAAAGGCCTGTGAAAATGCATAGAGTATGAAGGAAAGAGTGGTAGGAGAGGAAATTGGGAGGGTAATTGCAGCCTAGAACCTAAAGGTAGAATTAGCAGGACGTGCTGACGTCACGGTTCAATGGTCCATGCAGCCACAGGAGTATGATGTGCGGGGAACAATGTGATGGTCCACAAAAGGCAAGCAATAGAGGGAACGGAGTCAGGAATGGTGACTGAATTCCTGGAGGTCCCCAGGACTCATTTAGAGAGCTGCATTTTGGAAAAGAATTCAGCTACGAGCAAGATGAAGAAAGCATGAGTATTCAAAATAATTCATTTTGAATATGAAACCTTATTTTGTACCCCAAGTTGATGAACAGGGGACTCAACAGCTCCATGCACGAATCACATTCAAATTTACACAAATGTCGAAGTTGTGGAATCTGATTTAATCATGTTTCACTATGCACTCGAAAGTGGTTTTGAGAGTCCCTCATCCCCTGCCCTCACTAATTGATTATAAACATAATTACTTAAAGTATCATACAGTGCAAAATTGTCAACCCTAAAAAGAGCAAGCACTCCCATCCATAACGAGTAATATGTAGTTAAGCCTGAAAAACTCAAGTATTTTCCTAAGTAAAGAGACTAGTGTTGGGTGCTGAGGGATAGAGGTGAATAAAACCTCTAAGAGCTTTCACTGGCGTTGCGGACACAAAGCATGAATACATCACATTTTAAATAACAAAAGCGTTAAATTATTCAAAAGAACACAATTTAGCATGAGAGGGGATAGCTGCAGATGCAAAGAGGGTGCTTACAACACTGAGGCAATATCATTGCATCTACTTATTTTAGAATATATCAGTCCATAGTAATGTTGACAACCCGCTTCGATTTGTACATGCAAGTTAAACATAAAACACATGTTTCATAGATAAGTGGAGACAATAATGATGGGTTATCTCAAGTGAAGGAAGGCAGTTGAAGCCAAAGAGACATTTGTGTAATAGAAGTGCAATGCAGAACTGAATTGAAGCTAAAATTTGTTCACACAAAGGAGCAGGGGCATGCACAATAACTGAATTCCCCCAAAAGCAAAAGGGTGAATTTGGGGAAACACTGTTTTAACATCGCTGTTTATTTTAACATTAGTTTTTAATTCTCCCTTGACCACATTTAGTTATTATTCAGAGTTTTATTGTCGTGGTCAGCACTATCATCCTCAAGGGCAGCCTCAGGCAAAATTGCAGAAGAGAACTAACATTCAACACCCCCAGCCACCCCTTTTAATGTCCTTCTCTGCGTCAGTGATGGTTGCCACCCACTTAGGGCTCAGAGCTCTTACCACCTTCCTGACAATCCCTTATGGACATCTGCTCTAGGAAAAACAAACAAGCAAATGTATTCACACAGAGGTGCTAAAATGTGAGAAGTTTAATTTTAACTCTCTCTGTGGGGCATTTACACTATCACTATGGACAGAGACTTTTGCTACAGGGAAGGCATCTGCTTGTATTTTGAGGATTCAGCTAGGTTAGGGAAGAAACAGTCTGAACAGTTGTTGATCTTCCTTCACCCTTGAGCATACATCACAGAATCAGTCACCTACTGCACCTACCGCCTTCGCCACCTCTTATCTGTGTGATGACAGCAGCCTTCGGGTGGGTTTCTTCCATTTTTTCAAGACTTTTTCTGTAATAGAACCTAGTAAGCTAAAAAAAATGATATAAACATGTATTGGGGTTCAGGATATAGTATCCCTGAATATTTTAGGCTAAAGGAATTTGGGAAAACCGCAAAAGCAGGAAGGTCTCCCTGACCTTCCCCCCAAAGCAGGTCATAAAACCTAGGGAGGATTTTCTGACCTTCCTCTGACGCAGTTCATAAGAACTTCATGTGGGAGGTACCCTCCCTATACCCAGAGGAAAGGGCTATCCTTATTTCTGAAGACAAAGGGTCACAGAGAGGAATCTGAACAAACAGGCCCTGCTAAGTTTTCCCCAGTTTATTACCATTAGATCATACCCCCTTGGTCATATTATATTTCTTCACGACTATCCACCCTTCAAATTTAGCATTAAAACACACAGGTTTAACTATTTATTCGGGTCTCATTTTCTTTTGAAGGCTCCTGTGTCATGAAAAACTTACATTAAATAAAATGGTATGCTTTCCTGTTGTTAATCTTTCTTTTGTTACAGGGACCTTAGCCATGAACTTGAGACAGGTGAGGAAAACACATTTTTCTTGCCCTACAGATGTGCCAAAATGATAGTCAAATTACTGACTTTCTCTGCCTTTCTCTGTTGCTCCAGAATCCCTGAAAGTTTCTAATTGTTCATTAGGATGAATAGGAATGTTTCAACCTCGTGATAGTTTTTTTTTTACTATTTTTTTTTTTTTTTTTTACTATTTTGAATAGAGAGAGCACCTCTTCCCACCTCATTTCTTTACACTAAACCAACAATTTCCCACTAAATCCCAGCGTTCCCTATGGTCTCACATTTGCCATCATCTTTTTTTTGAGATGAAGTCTTGCTCTGTCGTCCAGTCTGGAATGCAGTGATGCAATCTCAGCTCACTGCAACCTCCGCCTCCTGGGTTCAAGCAATTCTCTTGCCTTAGCCTCCCAAGTAGCTGGGACTACAGATGCATGCCACCACACCCGGCTAATTTTTGTATTTTTGTAGAGATGGGGTTTTGCCATGTTGTCCAGGCTGATCTTGAACTCTTGATGTCAGGTGATCCGCCCCTCTTGGCCTCCCAAAGTACTGGGATTACAGGCATAAGCCACTGTGCCCAGCCTCCTTCCTCTTTCCTCTAACCCATGTGTGTTGTTTCAGAATACAGACTCACTTTTTCCAATCATCTTTTCTTTCTAACCTTACTTATCCTGACCACTTACTTTATTGGTATCGTTTTGTCACTTTCTTCAAGTTTAATGGTCTGTTTCTTGGTATTTCCTGATGTATTGCCTCGAAGGTATCATTTTAAATATTGCTGTTGGCTTATAGCTCTTGGTGAACAAAGAATAACCAACATTATCACAATAGCTTCTGTTAATCTACAAAATATATATTTTTAAATGTGTTATTAATAATCCTACCAGGCAGTTGTTGTTTTTACCACTTTGTAAATGAGAAAACTGAGGCGAGGAGAAACTGAATGAGGAAACTGAATCAAGGTCAAATTCTAAATCATGGCACAAAGAGCCATGAAAACCTTTTTTTAAAAAAAAAATTAATAAAAATCTTGGTTATTGATGAGCTGCTAAAATATCTAAATGGTTCTGAGCAGGGGAGTACTGATTCTTACAAGATTGTCCCTCATTCAGCATCATCAAAGAGCTAAAGATGGAGCTGATAGGGAGAAAGACACGTAAGGAAACATTACAATCCAGTGTGATACAGGTTATACTAGAATTTCACTGCAGGGGTTGAAGAAAGGAGGGTGAAATCATTGGTTATCCTAATGACCAAATTTAGCTATGACAGAACTGGGATTTTAGCCCCACTCTCCTTGTTGAAGTGGTGCCTTTCTATCATGTTCATAGTATTCAGACTTGGACTGGTCTGTGAGGTAAAAGGCTTGGTTCTGCTGTTAAGGCTTTCTTTTATGAGTCCTGAGAGCCTGGTAAACATGACTTTCTTTGGACCTGCCCTTTAAAATTAAAAACAGAAGATTTAGATACTATTCATGTGACAGGCATTTGCAAGCACTGCTTAATTCACCTCCCTCCAGTCTCTGGTCACATGACAGTAATATAATTTCACCCGATTACAGCCACACAAGAAACTGACAAGCTGATGTCCTGGGAATGGAGTCCTACAGTTACATTTTCTAACCCCCATTTTGTAGATTTATGCTATAATATCATGAAAATTTATCCCATAGCACCAAACATAAAGAAATTGTTTGTGGTGAATACTATACACTTCCACCTATTGATCATATATTGACATACGTTTAAACTTGTCTGGGTTAAGCCAAGGATAGACTAGGAGATAAAATTAAAAGGAATAAAATATAACACTTTAATTGCATTTGTGGCCAAGGGACCTACATTATACAGCAACCAGCATGTAACAGTGTACTTCATGTTCCATGATTTACCTTGCTGATAATTGCTTTGCACTCCTAATAAATTAACCCACAGAAAATCCATTCATCTGCATCTTCTTTTTATGCAGAGCTAGAGGAAAAAGGACCAGTATAGCAATTTGAGTGGCAATCATGCACTGATTGTAGCAAAGAAAGTAGCATGGTAAGAGTCTTAAGCATTCTGAAAGCATTTCTTCGTAAGAAAAGAGGAAGGAGAAAAGAAGAGAGGGCTTTTGCTAATTAAGTTCTGTTTTTGTCTTATTTGCTATGGAGAATATATTATGTTCTAGGCCAAAAATTCTTGTTTAATAAACTATATTTCTGGCCAGATATTTTATTTTAATATCATTAATTTTCTTTAAATATTTGTAGAAAATTCTCATTGTTATGTTTAAGATTCCTAGAAGGAAAGAATGTATAAATATGTTATTATATTCCTATGAGGTTCCTTCCATAAATATTATTCCATAGTAAATCTCACATTTAAGCTGCCCAATTTTTGTGTTAGACTCTGTAATCAAAATCACTTTGAGTACCTTACTTTTATTCTAAGGCTTTATGTACTTTCAATGTTCTGCCTAGTGCCTTGATATTACTTAGCTCGTTTGATCCTCACGGTCAACATGGTAGAATGGAAAGAATGCTGAATGAGTGAGGAGGCAGGATTTCTGGTTTCCACCCTGACGCTAAATTGGGTATAATATTGGCCTTATTGTTTTACTTGTCTGAGTCTCAGTTTTCTGTGTTTTAACATAAGGAGATTATAAGAGATGATCTCTAAGGTCCTTTCCAAATTTCAGGATATGCAGTCAGAATACTGTGAGTGGTTAAGGTTCACAGAGGCAAGTAACTTCCCCAGTTTCATAAGGTGGGTAGGTGGTAAGAGAAAGGCAAAAATGAGTTCTGCTTCTAGCAGTATGCAAACTTGACTGACCTTCTTGCAGAAAACAACAAAAATGCTGTTCAGTTTTTAAAAGGCTCCCTAGATACATCAACGAACTGGCAAGAAAATAAGAATTTCTTCAGTGCAGTGTTGCCAGAAAACAAACACAGGAAATCCAGTCAAATTTGAATTTCAGATAAGCAATAAATAATTTTATTATATGAGTATGTCTCAAATATTGCATGAAACATATGTATACAAAATTATTTATCTGACATTCAAATGTAATTGAGCATCCTGCATTTTTATTTGCTAAATCTGACAACTTACTCAGAGGTTAATAACTAAGTGAAAGCAGGGATCTGGAGATGTAAATTAGCATGGAAGCTGCTTTCACCAAGAAGGTATTTGCTGAATCCAGATAACCTTGAGCTTTGGCTTTTGCATTCCCACAGAGGAGGGGAGAGGACAGGAATCTAGTAAGAGATCAGCAGAATAAAACTGGGACCCCAATAGGCTGCATCCTCACTGTAAAAGTCTCTAGAATTAAACTGGTCCCTGTCCTGGATTGTATGTGTGGGAACAGGTAGCACTGATAGAAGGAGCAGTCTCTTGTCTTGAACCTTGGAGTTGGCTGTGGTTAAGGGAGAATGTTTACCCTGAGAATTCACATCTGAATTTTATACCTGCATAGTCTCAGGAACCTTAAGCCAATAATTTAATTTAAAGTGAACTTTGGTTACCAGTATGAGCAGGCATCTGACAGAAGCAAAGACTAATGCTGAGAAAGATAAACTCATGTATGGGAGAAAAGATTCCTCACCCATTCATTACAAGGTTCATGGCTGAGACCCCTATAACAAAAGACAGGTTAGAACAGGAAAGCATACAAATTTATTTATAACTTTTACATGACATGGGAGCCTTCAGAAATGAAGACACAAAGAAACAGGGAAATCTGTTTTTATGAATGACTATTGCAGAAATATGATTGGAGGACAAAAGGGTATGATCTAATGGTAACAAACCAGGGGGAACTTAGCATGATCTGTTTGTTTGGATGCTTCTTAGCAACTCTGTGTCTTTATTCCTTTCCTCAATGTCTTATGACTTACTCTAGGGGAAGTTCAGAAAATTCTTTTCTGGATGGCCTGCTTCAGTGGAGAATGGCAGGAGAAGGTCAGTGAGAACTTCTTGCTTCTGCTGTTTTTTTCAAATGCCAAGGTGCCATGTTTTGAGGTAACATACCCTGAACCTCATCACTCAGATACAAGTATAACAAAATATACAAGGAAATAAGGCACTGTGAATGAGCCTTGGTGTAAACAAAGGTTAGTACAATCTCAAAGACATCAAATATTAGAGTTATCTGGCAGGTAGAATAAAATATACATTATCAATATGCTTAAAGATTAAAAAGGGAATTGAAAATGAGCAAGAGACTTCATGATCAAGTAGATTTAAAAAATCAAATATAGTTAGTTTTTAGGAATACGGAAACAGGTGATATTTGAAAATAAACATTCAACAAATGGTACAAACAGATTATACACATTAGGACAGAGATATAATAATCTAAGATTATTTGTAATACAGAATAAGGAAAAACAGGTGAAAAATAAGAAAGAGAGATGAAAATAAATCAGGGTCCTTAAAGGAGAAAATGGAGAAGAGGCAATCATTAAATAAATAATCGATGAAACTTTTTCCAGCTATTAAGGTTACCAATCCTCAAAGCCAGAGACCATAATAAATGACATACGATAGTCACAAAGAAATCTACACATAGGGATATTAGAGAGTAGATTCAAGACACCAAAGACAAACAGAAGATCTTAAAAGCAGACAGAGAGAAAAAGATACATATGTATCTTTTTCATACATACGTACATACACAAACATATACACATATTAATAATATATGTTTTTCATATAGACATACATATACACACATATAGATTTACACTTATATATATTTCTTATATATTATCATATATATGTCTTTAGAAGTAACCAGGTAAATACTAGTCAAAGGAATTTGAGAGTTCTATTGATGTCAGAGGAAATAGACATTAAATCAAATGGCTAACTAGAGATAAGGAGTGATTATATGATAAACATTTCTAGCTAACAAGAAGTTGTCTATGTGTTTGTGTGTGTGTGTGTGTATTGAGCTTATATGTGCTTAGTAACCAAGCCTCAAAACTTATAAAGCAAAAATTGACTGGCCTGCAAAGGCAAGTTGATACCCAAGTCTATCATTATAGTAATTGTGTCTTAGTGCTTGTTAGATTAAGCTGACAAAAAAAAATCAGTAAAGATAGAGAAGATCTAAAGAGCTTAATTAACAAGAGCTAATTGTGAACACTATATTTATCTCAAGTTATTTATGGAAAAAAATATCATATACTGGGCCACCACGTAAGACTCAACAAATTCAAAGATTGATCTCATTCATTTTTTTGAGCACAAAACAATTGAGTTAGAAACCAACAGCAAACTATAACCAACAAAACCATAGGCATTTGAAGATCAAGAAACATAATTCTAGGCCGGGCAAAGTGGTTCACGCCTATAATCCCAGCACTTTGGAAGGCTGAGGCAAGTGAATCACTTGAGATTGGGAATTCCAGGCAAGCCTGACCAATATAGTGAAACCCCGTCTCTACTAAAAATACAAAAATTAGCTGGACATGGTGGCACATGCCTGTATTCCCAGCTACCTGGGAGGCTGAGGCAGGAGAATCCCTTGAACCCGGGAAGCAGGGGCTCCGAGACCTCGCCACTGCACTCCAGCCTGGGTGACAGAGCAAAGCTCTGTCTCAAAAACAAACAAACAAACAGTAACACCCCCCCCCCCCAAAACAAACAAACATAATTTTAAGTAAAGCATGGGCCAAATGGGAAATTATAATAAAAATTAGAAAATTTTTAGAATAGAACAAAACCAAAAATACTATATATTAAAAGACAAAAAAAGACAGAACATTAATGAGCTAAGATTTTTATTTATAACACTAAAAAAACCTAAATGGAATGTAACCTAAAAATAGATCAAGTGGAATTTACAATAAAATAAAAAACGAAAGTAAAATGAAACCGACAAAACCAAACTTTGTTCTTTACAAAGACAATCCACCAACCAAATTGATCAAGAAAAGAGAGCGCAAAAGTAATAATTTTGAAATAAAAGAGGATATTACTGCAGAGTCTTCATAATCAGAGAATAATAAACAACATTATGCTAACGCCGAAGTCTTATTAGACCTGGAAACAGTCTTCAGAATATAATTTACCATAATTAATGCAATAAGAATAGATCATCACATAATCCTATAATCATTAAAGAAATTGATTCAGCAGTTAAAAACTTCCCCTTTTCACAAAGAAACAAACAAAACTGAAACAAAACATTATTCCCAGATGACTTAGTCAATGTGGATTATGTAACATTCAAGGAATAAATTATTCAAATTTCATACAAACGAATGTAGGAACTAGAAAGTCTGATCTTGTGCATAGAGAGAGAAGAGCATTTCTTAAACAAAACATTAATAAAATGAATCACACACTATATAAAAAAGAATACTGGACTAAATTGGCATTATTCCAGGAATTAAAGGCTTGCTTCACATGGAAAAAAATTAAATTTTAATTTCTTATATTAATAAAGGGAGAAAAGTACACCACCTCAATAGATGAAGGAAAAAGCTTTTGATAAAATTCATAATCTATAATCTATTCATTATAAAAACTTATAGCAGACTAAAAGTAGATAATATTTATCTTCAAGTAATGTGCAGCATTTTAGTGGAATAATTCGCAGTTAATTTAAAATTAACTCAAGATCAAGAACATGAAATTTTCATACCATTACTATTTCTTTTTTTTTTTTGAGACGGAGCCTTGCTCTGTCGCCCAGGCTGGAGTGCAGTGGTGCAATCTTGGCTTACTGCAAGCTCCGCCTTCCGGGTTCACGCCGTTCTCCTGCCTCAGCCTCCCGAGTAGCTGGGACTACAGGCGCCCACCATCACGCCCGGCTAATTTTTTGTATTTTTAGCAGAGACGGGGTTTCACCGTGTTAGCCAGGATGGTCTCGATCTCCTGACCTCGTGATCCGCCCGTCAGGGCTCCCAAAGTGCTGGGATTACAGGCATGAGCCACCGCGCCCCACACCATTACTATTTCTTATGTACATTACACTAGAGATTCTAACCAGCTCATTAAGACAAAAATAAATAAATAAGTAAATTGTGAAGGTATATGGTTTGTAAAAAATGAGATGGTTATTATTTGCATATAACTGTGTAGAAAACAAAATAATATGCAGATTATTAAATTAGCAAGAGAATTTAGCAAGGTGGCTAGATAGAAAATCAATGTACAAAAAATCAATATATTTCTATTCATAACTCAAAAACAAGTAGGCAATATTTAAAAAGAGAATGTGATTTATAATAGCAAAAAATGTAAAGCACTTACAGAAAAAAATCTATAAAAGATATGCATGACTTTTACAGGGAAAATAATAAAGCTTTGTGAGAACACATTGGAAAAGCCCTATATAAGTGGAGTACTCTATGGTATTCATGGACAAGAAAATTCAATATCCTAAAGATGCAAATTTTAATAAAAATTAAATAATATATTTAATAGATTAAAATTCCATTAAAACTCATAATATTTTTGGTGATGCTTTAAAACTGATCCTACAATTTATTTGAAAGAGTCAGGA
The DNA here is from genome assembly GCF_000001405.40 of Homo sapiens. NCBI lineage: Eukaryota > Metazoa > Chordata > Mammalia > Primates > Hominidae > Homo > Homo sapiens. The sequence goes on along the minus strand of NC_000006.12, from coordinate 19,654,697 downwards.
GCCATGTAGAACTCAGACATGGGTCAAGAACCAAAAACTTAGGTGAAGAAATTTTCCTGCCAGATACCAAGAATTAATGTAAATGTAGAATAATTAAAACAATATGATATTGCCAAATGGGCTAACAAAGACAATAATTAAATTGAACAGAGGGCCCCAAATACATCCTCACATGTCTGGAAATTTGATTTATGATCCAGATGGCATTGCAGGGCACTAAGGAAAATATAAAATTTTCAACCAATGACATTGGAACCATCCATATAATATAACAGTTAAATTAGACCTCATATTTTATACAACACAGATATCTGTTCTGGGATGATTGAATACTGAAGCGTGAAAGGCAAAACTGAAACTTTTAGAAAATGATGGATGAGATGATCCACATAGCCTTAGTGTAAGGATAGATGTCTTTAAAAAGAACCACAAACTGGCCGGGCGAGGTGGCTCACGCCTGTAATCCCAGCACTTTGGGAGACCGAGGTGGGCGGATCACGAGGTCAGGAGATCGAGACCTTCCTGGCTAACACCGTGTGTATCTCTATTAAAGATACAAAAGAAATTAGCCGGGCGTGGTGGCCAGCGCCTGTAGTCCCAGCTACTCGGGAGGCTGAGGCAGGAGAATGGCGTGAATCCAGGAGGCGGAGCTTGCAGTGAGCCGAGATGGCGCCACTGCACTCCAGCCTCTGCGGTAGAGCAAGACTCTGTCTCAAAACAAAACAAAACAAAAAAGAACCACAAACTATTGAAAAATTGTTTTCAACAATATTTAGAACTTTTGTTCATAAAAAGACCTCATAGAGAATGTGAAAACATCTGCCTCTGACCGAGAGAAGGTATTTGTAGCACACATAGCTAAAAATTGATTAGTATTCAGGATACATAAGGAATGCATGCAAATCAGACTGAAAAAGAAAACCCAGTGCGGAAATGGACAATAAGACTAGAACAGGTACTTCACAGAAGAAGAAACTTGAACAGTTTCTAAACAAATGAAAGGGAGCTTAATTTCAATAGTCTTCAAAGAAATGCAAGTTAAAACCATAATGAAATAGCATTTCATACTCAGCAGCAGATAGGTGAAAATTAGGAGGTTGACTGAAACAATTTTTGGTAAGTCTATGGAGCAACCATAACTTTTGCACACTGAAGGTGTATACCTTGTACAAACACTGTGGAATATCACTAGATGTTATCTAGGAAAGTTGACCGTATGCACATCCTGTGAGCCAGCAAGTATCCTTGCAGGGATATACTCTAGAGAAATTTTTGTATAAGAAAGATAGGAAAATCTTTAGGCTGGTAACTTTTATACTAGCAAAAAACTGGAAGCAATGAAAATGCCCATTAAAATGAGCATGGATAAAATATATGGTATAGTCATACGAAAAATGGTGTATCCACATACATGCAGAAAATCAAGGAAATGAACTTCAGCCACAAGTAACAACAAGCAAGTACATGCATGAATCTCAGAAATCTAATGTTACGGAAAAAGCAAGTCACAGAATACTACTGATGAATATAGGAAAGTTTATGTTCTAAATTATAAGCGACTAAGCAATACATTGTTTCTGGATGCAAATTGTGTGATAAAATTACAAAGAAACAAAGGGAATGAGAAACATGAGATTTAGGAAAGTAGTTCCTCATGGAAGGAGGGAAGCAGGGACGCCACAGATCACGTTAATGCTCTATTTAACATTATGGTCCAGAGATAAGCATTGATTTTGCTGTGGTTCTTCAACTACAGATATTTACAAATGTTTTTTAAATGTTTCTTTGCATCTATTCAATATTTAATAAATGCATGTTAAAAATGAACCAAAAATCAGTTTTTGGGTCCCTGTTGCAGTGCTCATTCTAGTGAACCACATACTGGGCCACTGGCTTTTCTCTGTTTTGTGTGTTCTAGAGCAATTAATTACGTGCACATATACCTGCATTATTGTCATTGTATGCTAATTGTCTTTCAGTTCTCTATCATCCAACTATTTACCATGCCTTCTGAAGGCAAATGTTTTATTGCTTTTTAAACACATTTGTACTGTGTTCTTTGAGAATGAGAAACATTAATTAAAACTGTAGGTATGAAAGAACAACCTGTACTCAAATGCAAAGAGACTTCTGATAATTCTGAAAGACCTGGCAGCTGGGACAGTACAGTGTAGTGGTTAGAAGTGTAGGTTTAGAAGTCAGCACATGTCACTTTTAATCCTGGCTCCACGATGTGTTAAATGACCTTGATTTTAGATTCCTGAGTCTTGGATTCTTCATAATCTTCCGCTGTTGTGAGGATATTGTGGGCTGGTATAGGGAAAACATTTATTTGGCTGCCTAGTAGAACTCAGTATCAGGTAATTGATATCTGTCAACATTATTATTAAGTATCATTAAAGAGTAAGAAAGATGTAAAGTTAGCACCTAGAGCTATAGGAAGTAAAAATATATCTTGAAATTAGCTGTTAGTGCAAGTGTAAAACTTCCAGCTTTCCTTTGCTTTGGAGAGAATTTTGATATTTTCTGGGTTAAAAAGTCCAATGAATAGAACTCATTTCCCCTCGTGGCCATGTGTTTTTCATTTGATCTGACTTTTCATAGTCTCCTTTTTCTCACCTGAAATATGATGATGATGTTTATACTGGGTCTTTGTGAACCTCTAAAGGGGTAATATATAGTAAAAAACTTATTTAATAAATATATTATCATGACTGTTATATCCTAAGAAACTATTTTGAGTATATTATTTGTAGTTTTCCAGAAACAAAAAGGCAAGTGCTCCAGTTTTTAGTGTGTGTGATTATGTTTTCATGACCCCTGGTCATTACTGTTGAAGCTGCATAAAAGTGGTCGTGTAAAATGTCACATAGCAACATGTCCCATCTGCTTAGCAACAGAAAGAGGACAGGTAATAAAATATTATATATCAAAACAGAAACTCTGTAAGAAACTAGAGTCAAAGAAGCATCAAACCCTAAACCTACTCATATTTTTTTCCCTTAAAAAAAAACAAAAAAACACTAGGCCGGGCACGGTGGCTCACGCCTGTAATCCCAGCACTTTGGGAGGTCGAGGTGGGTGGATCACAAGGTCAGGAGTTCGAGACCAGCCTGGCCAATATGGTGAAACTCCATCTCTACTAAAAATACAAAAAAATTTAGCCAGGCTTGGTGGCACATTCCTGTAATACCAGCTACTCAGGAGGCTGAGGCTGGAGAATTGCTTGAATCCGGGAGGCGGAGGTTGCAGTGAGCTCAGATCATGCCACTGCACTCCAGCCTGGGTAACAGAGTGAGACTCCATCTCAAAAAAAACCAAAAAAACAAAACAACACTAAAAACCACTACCCAGATTGTTGTCTGAAAGAAATTCTACCAAGTTCCCTAACAATATTCAATTCAATTTATTTTTGTTATGAACCTCACAGTGTATTTCATTTAAATGGCACAAATTTAAATAGTCGCAGTAATCTAGATGACTTTCTTAGACTCTACATGATCCATGTGAGGTAAGAGGAATAAAATACCCCACAGGACAAAAATTCTCCTGTGTGGCAAATTAACTGCCTAGAACATCAGTGTACAATTTAGTACTCTGTAAGAAGTGATTTTTTAAATGGTGTCCGGAAGAGTTAATTTACCTCATAGCAGCAAGTAGTTTACTACAAAAGAATTGCTTACTCACCTTAGATACTTTGGAGTAAATTCATTATAGGATTACTCATTTTGGGGCTAAAGGAACATGTTTGCCATAATGATGGATAATTATACTGTACAATTTCTGCATTATTTATTCTGTTTACCAGCTGATGGACCACTGTTCTTGACAGGGTTTCCACCTGTTTTGATAGGAATTAAGGAGTTTTGAAAGCATTTAAAGGTATTCTTCAGTTAGTCCTTTATTTCCTCAACTCTAAAACACCCTTTATTGTACCAAGACAGAAAAAAATGCTAATTAAACCCTGACACAATGTATTCTTATTACTGAAGAATTTTTATTTCATACTTGTTGACAGAGCTCTTTAGACGGATTCGGATATAGAAGTTTTAATCACATATTACTCATATATTCAAAAAAGGGAAAACAGAGGTAAAGTATATTAAAGGTATTCCCAAACTGTCTTCAAATTCAGAGTTTGACTCTTCTGAATTATTTTTCAACTCAGAGTCATGTATATCCATGTTTTTCCACAGTGTTTTCTTCTGTGCCTGAAGTGGACTAGTGAGTCAGGATATTTCCAGGACTATTGCACGAATGTCACTGGCATTAAATTCTAAGTAATTGACAACTTTTGGCTAGTTTTATGTCTTCTCAGTCTTCCCAGAAAATGTCAATGGAAGGATTTCAAGCAACAATTAGAGCTCCTATTTTTTTCTAATGGCTCTTAAATGTTTTGTTGGCTGAAAACTAAGAAGTTGCAGTGGCCGGGCGCGGTGGCTCACGCCTGTAATCCCAGCACTTTGGGAGGCTGAGGTGGGTGGATCAGGAGATCAGGAGATCGAGACCATCTTGGCTAACACGGTGAAACCCCATCTCTACTAAAAATACAAAAAACTAGCCAGGCGTGGTGGCGAGCGCCTGTAGTCCCAGCTACTTGGGAGGCTGAGACAGGAGAATGGCGTGAACCTGGGAGGCAGAGCTTGCAGTGAGCCGAGATTGTGCCACTGCACTCCAGCCTGGGCGACAGAGCGAGACTCCGTCTCAAAAAAAAAAAAAAAAAAAAAAAAAAAAGAAAAGAAGTTGCAGTTTTACAGGTAAGCCACCAAGAAAAGCACCAACTTTGCTTATGAGTAAGAAGATAACTAAGTCAAGAGTGCTGCCTGGTTACAGTGACTTTAAGGTACCTTTGACTCTAAGATGCACTTCTATTTTGAAGACATTAAGAATGAAAAAGGTGCATGTTCGTAGTGAGAAACATGGCATGGAGTTTTAAAACATTTTTACTTGAATTAATTACAGATATATCTGCTTATATGAATCTATCAACGTATTGCTCAAATTAGCATTATTTGCAATCTTGTTATTCTCTTTAGAGTTGGCAAGAGGATTAACACTTGTATATTTTTCTATTTTTCCTTCTGTATATTGATATCACAGTTAGGGTTCTAATTCTGAACCTTCCAAGAAATATGATCTACAATCACCAACACCATTTACTGAATATTTTCCAGTTCTTGATGGAGCTAGTTCACTACAAATTCATTTGGACTTTCCTCATCTGGGCCACTGATGCTGCTTGAGAACATCATTTTTTCCTGTCATACATGGGATTCATATCTTACTCTTTGCTTCTCTAAATCTTTTCTACACGAGGACCCAACTGATTCCTCCACCTCTATCAAGTTTCCCAGAAATAACACAGCTCAAGGTGATCCTCATTCACCACTATCCTCTCTCATCCCAGATACTACTGTCTTTTAAACATTTTATGCATGAGAAAATTGCAGCCTAGTTACAAAGTTGTGAAGAGCCTTATGTGCCATGCTAAAGAACATATGACTTCTAAAATAACCATGAACACTTTTTTTTGTTGAGACATATTCTCACTCTTGTCACCCAGGCCGAGTGCAGTGGTGTGATCTTGGCTCACTACAACCTCCACCTCCTGGGTTCAAGTAATTCTCCTGCCTCAGCCTCCCAAGTAGCTGGGATTACAGGCGCCCACCACCATGCCAGGCTAATTTTTGTATTTTTAGTAGAAATGGGGTTTCACCACGTTGGCCAGGCTGGTCTCGAACTCCTGACCTCAGGTGATCCACCCACCTCAGCCTCCCAAAGTGCTGGGATTACAGGCATGAGCCACCGTGCCTGGCCTAAGATTTTTAATTCCTTAGACACCATTTTCCTATTAAGTGAGAATAGTACATACTTAGCAAGAGTTTTGTAGATAAAGTTATATATGTAGAGCATCTGAGGGCTTGACACATAATAGTTGCTTAATAAATCATACTAGTTATTATCATATAGGTAATGATAGGACATTAGATGATTTTTCTTCTGAAAACAATGCAAAGACACACAGGTCTAGATAACGTCCACAGAACATGCAGTATCCCTAGATTGCAAGTGTATGATGATAAATAAATCCAGGTCAAACTGGTAGGACCACTAACAAATTTTGAGGTTTTCTTCTTGAAGTTTGTCTTCTTGGGTGAAATAAACATCCATTTGCTTATTTGCCTTGTGAATCCCATTTTAAGTCTGGCTGGATAGGGTTGTGGCTCCATTAGTAATTCAGTAGGACTACTCCTGTTTTTAAAAGTGATGAAACCGCTTTTAATTGCTAGTGCTTCAGAAATACCGACCCTCTGTTAGATATGGGGAGGGTGAAGCCTTTACATACATCATCCGTAATCTTCGTATGAGTCCTCTCTAGAGGGTAGTATCCTTATCTTACTGGTGAGGCAACTGAAGTTGAGAGATGAAAAGGGCTCCATCTTTGGAGGGTGACAGAGCAGGGCTCTGCCTAGAATCTGCTGACTGTGAGGCTGGCTCTCTCTCTGCACTTTGCCAGGTCATACTGGGTCCTCTTTTCTTTTTCTTTTCTTTCTTTCTTTTTTTTTTTTTTTTTTTTTAAGATGGAGTCTGGCTCTGTCGCCCAGGCTGGAGTGCAGTGGCACGATCTTGGCTCACTGCAAGCTCCGCCTCCCGAGTTCATGCCATTCTCCTGCCTCAGCCTCCCGAGTAGCTGGGACTACAGGCGCTCGCCACCACACCCGCCTAATTTTTTTTTTTTTTTTTGTATTTTTAGTAGAGACGGGGTTTCACTGTGTTAGCCAGGATGATCTCGATTTCCTGACCTCGTGATCCACCTGTCTAGGCCTCCCAAAGTGCTGGGATTACAGGCGTGAGCCACTGCGCACAGCCCATACTGGGTCCTCTTTTCTAAGAGTTTTACTTTAGGTCATCCTCCACAGTCCGTTTCGTACTATCAGCTTGGCTATTTGGGGTTGATAAATCATGACTGGAGTATTTGAATAATATCCCTGCCCATATGTTCTTTAAATTCACATAAAATAAGCACTGGTGCATTGTCAAAAACTCTATTATTGTCTGGCATATTTTTCAAGTAATAGGCATGGAGCCATTGATTTTACAGCAGAACTTTGAATCAAAACCAGAAGTCTGCTGCCATCAAATTATTATCTTGGAACTGTCCTGCAAAATCAATAGAAATGCAGATACAAAATAAAAAAATGGAACCTACCATTTCATTTAGAAACTGATATGGTTTGGATTTGTGTCTCTACCCAAATCTTATGTAAAATTGTAGTCCCCAGTGTTGGAGGAGGGGCCTGGTGGGAGGTGATTGGATTATGGGGGTGGATTTCCTCCTTGCTGTTCTCAAGATAGTCAGTGACTCTCATGAGACCTCATTGTGTAAAAGTGTGTGGCACCTTCCCCTTCACACTTTCTCCTTCTTTGATCATGTAAAACGTGGCTCCTTCTTCTTCACTTTCTGCCATGATTGTAAGTTTCCTGAGGCCTCCTCAGCCATGCTTCCTGTACAGCCTGTGGAACTGTGAGTCAATTAATCCTCTTTTCTTTATAAATTACCCAGTCTCAGTAGTTCTTTATAGCAGTGCAAGAATGAACTAATACAGAAACTTATCAGAAACATGTTATCTGTCATATGTTAATAGTTATTTTTTCTAAACATGATTTTTAATGGCTATGTAATATTTCATTTTATTAATATCCTTAAGCAAGCCTCTATTTTATAGTTATGAATCCATTTATTAAATATTGTTATATGCTTTTTACATATCTGTAATATTTCTTTAGGCTATATTTCTGAAAGTGGAATCTGGGTCAAAAACAGACCTTGTTTAAGGCCTTTAGTGTATAATATTGCCTTCAACAGAAATTTCAAACTATTTCCAGGAGAGAACTGCTTCCCAATATCCTTACCAGTGGTAAATTTTATTATTTTTATGAATTGTCAATTATGTAAATGAAAATGGAAGTTTATTATTTAACTTGCATTTCATTCATTATAAGTGAAGTTGATTTTTTTCATATATGATCTGTGTGTATTTCTTCTGCACATTTTGTATTCACTACTTTTGCCAATTTTTAAATTTGTATATTTATCATTTTATCATTGATTTGTGAAAGTGTTTCGTAAATTAAGGATTTACAATGTATACTGTAAATACTTTTCTAGTTTGTTATTTGTTTTTAAATTATATTTTTTTGTTCTTGAAGTTGCTTTCTCGCCCTTCTTTAAGTTTCAATACAGAGAATTAAGCCAAGATTTTAGACAATTTTCTCATGGAAATAACTGTCTTTGATTAGGTTCCATTAAGTAACATAGATTAAGCATGCTACTGTAAACTTCAAAATCAGAATTGGGTCAATGTCACTAAACCAAGGCCTTCTAGCCATAATACTTTTTTTTTAATGTATCACTTATATGTATCATTATCAAAGTACTATGAGAGCAGTTTTCTGAAATGACATTGTAATTCACCAAAGTAATCATGTTGAGGCATATACATTGTGTTTCTAGGTTGTGACTGCTGAGGTTTTCTTATGGAATTTTATCTATTGGTCATGCTCTTTCCTGCCTGCCTCTCTCATTCAATTTAAAAAGCTGAATCTGGGATTATACAGTTAATAGCTTGTTTTTCATCATATTCCACCCTGCACCTAATACAGTATCTTACCATAATGAACTCTTGAGCTCTATTTGTGAATGCCTAATTCAAGGACAACTAGGTGGAGAAAGACAGAAATCTTTTTTTTTTCCAGTTTTGAATAAAAGCCAGAAAAAATTATGAAGACAAAGCCTGGCAGTATGTCTAGAATGTATTAAAGGATTAGCGATCTAAACAAGTTTCAAATTCGGATTATTATATAGATCTTATTATATTATAGATCTTAATATATCAATTATTATATATTGTCTTCAAGGAAACATGAGGAAAGTAAGTGACTAGTTCCAGCTGCATGTAATTCAGTCTGATTTCCTGAACAAGTGTATGGGCAGGTTGGAGACCAGAGTTGACCAATAACATGACTTAGACTGTGTGTGTTGGTTGGAGGAGGGGGGCGTCAAAAGAAATGTGCTTTGCAGACTTTGAACTGCAGCAAACAAGACTGACGAAGGGCCCTAGCTGCTAGGCTCTAAAATCCATTGCCATGTCTGGGCTGAGGCCATGCTTCCCACCAGTTTCCTCCAAACTGAGTATGGCAGAGATAACTGAGGCATACCTGTTCTTGTGAGACGTGGAACTCCACTGATGACCAACTTTGGTTCAGGAACTCTCCTATAACCTTCCATAGAGCACATGATGGCCTGGGGGTGATTTCTTTCCTCTCTTCTCTCAGGGTCAGACTTGCATCTTGGCCTAATGGGTCTTTTTGTCTTTCTGACTCTTCCCCCATTTTTTTTCTCACAGACATTTCCTCTAATAAAGTCCTTGCATGTTTAATCTTGTCTTTGACATCTCCTTCTTAGGAGACCTAGATTAATCTACAGAGAAATTGCTGGCCAATTTTCTTATTCTTTAGAGACTCTGGCTTTTTTTTTCTGTTTCAAAAAATTTCTAAATCTTCTTAAAGACTTCTTTCTTCAGTAAATGGGAACAGTAAATGGCAAAATGTACATAAAAATTTGCATGCAATTTTAGTTGGTGCATGAGAATTTTGGAAATCATTCAAGGATCCTCTGAAAAATCCATTGGACACCAGGTTGAGTATCCCCACAATTCTTTCTGAAGACATTGATAGTTGGTATTGATGAAGACTAATTATATGCTTTAAGGACTTTTATCTTCCTCTGGTAATGCAGGCTACATACCCATTCATACTTTGTGGTGATATTCAAATTACTTAACAACCAATCAGAACAATCGCTAGCCTCTACAACACAAAGTAGTTCCCACCCTGTTCTTTTCCATTATCTGTCTTCCATGAAATCGATGATAATTCTTAATGTATATATTCTTCTAGATATTTATTATGAACTGCTCAATAACTTTTATTAAATGTCAACAGAGTATGTGGCCTCGGGCAGGGGGAGACATCAAGAAAACCCACACAAAAACTAAGAGACAGGAAAACTAGCAGTAAGGAGTCCCCCTTTTAGTTCAGAGTTAAATGCAAGCATGGCTTGCATGGTTTACATTTGAGCAATTGTTTGTACCCCACTATTCTTTAAATAACCAACAAAAGGTTTTCGAGGCAGCCATTTTTAATTGGTCCAATCCTCATTCATATCTTTTGAAAAACCCTAACAATTTGTGTTGAACTGCATGTCTACCTTCTTGTATTCCAACTCTTTGGTTCACTTTGTCTGTTGTCTTTCCCATATGGTTCAAAAAAGCACTATGCATAATGCCTTTCTCTAGCATGCCCTTTTGATTCCTAACATTCTTCTGAGGGCCTTAACTCTATAACCATTACCTGAACATGGTGCTTTCATCTAGGATTAAGTTTTGCACTTCTATTGATCTTCCTCTATGGGGTTGAATGTAGTAAATGAACCTCCTAGCTCCCGACAAATTTGCATGTAATTGCCTGTCCAGTCCTGAACGCTGAATACTGGGCTGGAAGAATACACTAGCATTAACAGAGCCAAAAATGTTTTTCTTTCAAAGGCTCTGCTCCTTTGTAAAAGTGGCATATATGGGAAGAATCAGAAGGCTTTCTCAAGGTTTGGGAAAATGGTGAGGTGGGGGGATGTCCGGAAATTATTACCGTGCTATCAAAATTATCATAACCTCAAATGGACCTTTTGAGTAAGTCTAGAGCTGGCATTAACCTCTTTCTGACCACTGAAACATACTGACCTACATTTACATACCCCTAAAGGGAACTGAAATACTTTAATCATGCCTTCTTTTCACTAGAATTTCTTTAGACAGATTTTACTAGGTAGTGATAAAAATTTTGTCCTGTACTGTGTCTTTGATGGATTTAATGATCAATCATATATGAAGGGTTATTGTTGAATTATTTTGAATAAAAAAGTAGTTTCACTTGAAGCTAGATAACTTTTATATTTAACGTGTTATATAAACCCTCGTACTTTTCCTCTGATCTGTCACAATGGACATGAAAGGTATGAAATTTTTAAGGGAGATGTAAAATTTACTGCAGAGAAATGTCTGATTGTTAGACTTTTATCATAGTTAATTACAAAAATTCAGTACTGCACTGTTTCAAGTCTTGATTTTTAATTTTTAAAAAATTGATGACTCCATCAATATTTGTGTGGGACACTCTTCATTTGCTGTCTCCCCAATGCAACCATATTATATAGCACCCACTCTATTTACTTTAAACATTAAATGATTGATTTAACAAAAATTAAATGAAATAAAGCTTAATTTACTCTGTAATAATTGGAGACCCAATGCCATGTCTCATATCAAGGGACTTGGGAATTATTTCTCTTTTCTTTTTTTTTTTTTGAGATGGAGTTTTGCTCTTGTTGCCCAGTTTGGAATACAATTACATGATCTCTGCTCACTGCAACCTCCGCCTCCTAGGTTCAAGCGATTCTCCTGCCCCAACCTCCCAAGTAGCTGGGATGACAGGCATGCGCCACCACACCTAGCTAATTTTGTATTTTTAGTAGAGATGGGGTTTCTCCATGTTGATCAGGCTGGCCTCGAACTCCTGACCTCAGGTGATCCACCCGCCTCAGCCTCCCAAAGTGCTGGGATTACAGGTTTGAGCCACTGCACCTGGCCGGGAATTATTTCTTATAAGTAAATCCCTTGTTCCTCTTTGGAGAACGTAGAAGCTCTGCATTCTGATGATATCTGACTGGGAGAGGGGTCCAGGTTCCTCTCCTTGTTTGTCCTATTCAGTCTGATGAGCTGATGGAGTCAGCAAGTTAAAGACATGCTTTAGAATGATCAAGAGAAATTATTTAGGAGGAGGTGTGGTTTGTGAGGAAATGTTGAAAGCATTTTTAAATTGTACTAATAGCTGATGAAGTTCAAGCATTATTAGCACTGACGGGAATCCAGCTGAGTCTTTAGTAACATCATAACTTTTTATACCATCCCTGTGAAAGTGGCAATGTTAATGTTAATTTGAGTTAAATTCTTAAGCATCTTGCTTTTGATTAGTTCAAAATGCCAAATACTAACGCTGTTTCATACAATTCTGTGAGATATAAAAAATAGATATATTTAAATATGTCAATTAGTGCTGGTATTGGCAGCACATATACTAAAATTGGATACAGAGAAGATTAGCATGGTCCCTGCACAAGAATGACATGCAAATTCATAAAAAACATTCCATATTTTAAAAGAAATAAATGAAAATAAATATAGCAATTACATTTGAGAAAGATGAGAAGGAAGATTTCAGAAAATAGAACAAGTTCTATTGTTTTAGACCAGATAATTATGCCAAGAATTATTTCTGTCATTGCAATTCTAGTATTCATGTTAAGGGATATCATCTGACTAATAATAATATCCCCAGACACTGTGTAAAGCCCTATATGTGTTAACTCATTTGATTCAACACAAATAGTGAGAATATGAGATGTGGACAACTTTAAGATGAGGAACTGGATTTTAGGGAGGATAGGGGACCTGTCCAGAGTCACTTTATTTGTAATGGATATTTTCTGCCTTTGAACCTTGATTGTCAGACACAATCATTCTAACTCAAGAAATGCTCAAACTTGTGTTGTATGTGCATTATACTGCATTGAAAACCACTTAGGTGATAAGGGGAGAAGGGTCTCAGTTTAAGAATCAGAAGATCTGTGTTCTAATTCTGACACTAATCTCACTTTCTCCATGAAACAGTTTTTTTTTTAACTAACAAAATTCAATTAAACTTGTATCATACAGGTTAAAGGAAGTCAAGCATTTAAGCTATAGCCTATATCTCTCCACATCTTATGTGATAGATACACTCTTTCCCTCCTCATAGTGCTTTTGTCTGAATTGCTCGTTCTTCAGTAAATTTACATGAAGAAATTTATTTAAAATAAAATATGAATAAAACAGTTAACACTAAAAAACATTTTAAATTAATACGAAGTCATATCAACATAAAATAATATTTTAAAGAATAACATTATTAAATTCTCTATCATTTTGAAAGAATAGGACAAACATGGCTAAGAGGAAGAAAATGCCCAGTTCTTTGAAATGAGTTCCTCACACTGGATTTAGATCCATTACACCCTAAGATACAGAAGTAACTTGTAGAATTACTGCCAGAAATATTTTGAGAATTTAGGGAGAAAGGAAATACCGTTGAATGGAAAATGTTGCCTCAATCATCATAAAGGAGACAAAATATATGTTTTAAAGTTGCAAAACTGCACACTGATAATCCTGCAACCCTCTGTAGTAGGTTATGGAAGGGACAGTTTGTGGAGGAATGGTCACGAGGAGCCAGCATGGGTTCACTGAGAATGAGCAATGCCAAGGTAGCTAATTTCACATTTTAATAAATTAGACTTGCACGTTTGGGGAATTTTGGAGACATAGTATGGAAATATATTTCTGGACTTGAGTCTAAATAGCAACGCATTGCTTAAAATTCCCAGAAATTTTGTATTTACTTTAAACAAATTTTCCTTTAACTTTCGGGATGCCGATTTACTAGATCTTGGTTGGGACCGGGAATGCATATTTTACAAAGTTCCCTAGGGAGTTCTGATCATCTTCTATGTTTGGAAATATCTATGTTGGGCTATCCATTTTTTAAAATTGGGCAATCTGTTTTTTTTTCTAGCAAATATGAATACATTTCTTTTGACCTCCACCCTCTCCTCATAGATTTAGCATCTATTTTTGAACCTCATAAGGTCTTGGACAATTTGAGAAAGATTAGAAGAAAGCAAAGATGCTCATTTGGGAGCATCCTAATGTAGCCATTCCAAGGTTAAATGCACAGATATGAAGCTGGCTTCCTAGATCCGAAGCCTAACTCTCTAGCTGTGTATGTTACTTTATGTGTTTGTGCCTTTGTTTTTACATGTAAAATAGTAATAGTGCTTCCTCATTGGTAATTAATTGAGCTACAAATGAAGTACTTACAAAGGTGTCAGTGTATAGGATATTCTGAATTAGAGTTGGCTATTATTATTATTACCATTGGAATAAATACCTATTATTTTTCAGGTGGGACTGCCAAGATGAATAGACATAATCCTCGATCTAACCACTTCACAGTTTATCATCGGAGTCAAGTTTGCAGATAAACAATTGCCATGCAACTTTCAAGGTACAAGTTTAAAAGTATATATGAATTTTATTGGGAAGACATCAGTGACAGCTTCACAGCAATGTTGTCACCTGAGCTGTATATTTAGGTGAATTATTTGGACATGTAAGTAGGGGAAAAGTCATTCCAGATGAAGAGAATGCTATGACAAAGGTGCTGGGGACTGGAAAAGCCTAGCTTTCCAGAGACTGAGTATTGCTTTAGTGGGCAATAAGAGAAGATAGTAAAGAGAGCTATATTAGGATTTGCTTTAGGGGACTCAGTGCTGGCTAGATCCTGAAGGGCCCTGAATACCATGCCAAGGAACTTGGCTTTTTTCCATCCTTAATGAGAGCCATGAAAAGATTTTAAGCCAGGAAATGATGCTATTAGATTTTCATATAGGATTGTAGAAGGGTGTTAGTAGAGTTGAAACTAGAGGCAGGCACACCAGTTAAGAGGCTGTTACTATGATTCAGGCAAGGCTTTGTAAGGGTCAAAACCAGAATGGTGACAATGGGATGGAGAGAGCAATACGTGATAGCTGCTGGTAAGAAGATCCCAGACATCTTGCAGGAGGAATGCTGGTTACTGGCAGATGGGAAGGAATGGGAAGCAAAAAGATTCCCCTGATATGTCACTCAGCAAATAAATGGTTGAATCTTCCTTCAAATTGAGCTAGGAAATACAGCATAAAGAGCATATTTTGGAGGAAATATGAGTTGTGTTTTATTCTTGCTAAGTTTGTGTGTGTGTGTGTGTGTGTGTGTGTTGGGGGAGTGTTGATATATTCAGATAAAGCTATCCAGAAGGTGGCTGGATATTTAGGTCATAATCTTTGGGAAGAAAGCAGGGTTTGGAGCATTGATTTTGGAGTTGTGTCCTAAAGCCACACTTATGAGTTAAGATTCGATTTTACTACATGTACTGCATGTAACAGTGACTTAATGAAGACAAAAATGCATTTCTATCTCACCTAAAAGAATTTTAGAGATATATAATTCAGAGAGAGAATCATAACTCTACAACAATTTTATCTCTTTCCAGCTCACTTCTCAGCTACCTAGGGCAAAAGCTGCTGCCAGAGTTCTAACATTCATATGTTTGCATATTGTTATGGGTTGCAATTTGGAGAAGAAAAGAGGGCTGTGATCTTCCTTTCAAAAGAAACTCCTTGGAAGCACCACACTTCTGTTTATTTCTCATTGACTAGAACATAGTCAAGTCATGGGATTCTGGGTAATGTAGTAATTTAACTGGATGGATATATGCCCAGCTAGTTGGAGTTCTGTTATAAATGTAGATTAGCGCCCATCCTGTTGGCCACGTGCCATGAAGTGGCGGGTGCACTGTGGCCCCTGGTGTGGGCCGCGGTGCCTGCTGCCCCGGAGCTGCCTGTGCTGGACATGAAGCGGCCCTTCCTGTGCCAGGAGCCGCTGGGTGGCCAGGACATGGGCCGTAATGTCCCTGCTTCTGTTAATTGTTCCCTTATGGACATCAAAGTGCTTGCCTTTTCTGGGTAGCATTGCACTGAAGTTTTAGATAGTACAAAGTCTTCAAAAAAAAGCAGCAAGGCTAGAAAAGGCTACTCTTATTTGTCAACTGCAACAGCTACTATCGCATATGGTGCCAACAATGTCTTCCCCTAGTTTGTTCCCAGCGTGAGGGCTTCTGCTGATGTGTTGGCCATGTCAAAATCAAATTCAAGTTATCCGATATTCCAGAAGGCAAGAATATGGCTTTCAAAGATAGAGGCAAACTCCTGTTTGTGGGCCACAGAACCAAAAAGGAAACTAACTAGGAAGCTGCAGTTGAAAGGTCCCATTTGAGGGATCCACAGCATGATTTAGAACAAGTAAAGAAACCCCATTTTCTTTATGCAGTCTATCACCATCAATGATGACTGGATAAAGAAAATGTGGCATATGTACACCATGGAATACTATGCAGCCATAAAAAAGGATGAGTTCATGTCCTTTACAGGGACATGAATGAAGCTGGAAACCATCATTAACACAAGAACAGAAAACCAAACACCACATGTTCTCACTCATAAGTGGGAGTTGAACAATGAGAACGCATGGACACAGAGAGGGGAACATCACACACTGGGGCTGTCAGGGAGTGGGGGTCTAAGGGAGGGATAGCATTAGGTGAAATACCTAATGTAGATGACGGGTTGATGGATGCAGCAAACCACCATGGCACATGTATACCTATGTAACAAACCTGCACGTTCTGGACATGTACCCCATAACTTTAAGTAGGTTATCCTGATAAGTGTTTGCATTCGCCTTGGTTATGTACTCACTGCATTTGCAGGAGATTCTGGTAATTATTACTGCCCTTGCCATGGGTCACACTATGATGCTTTTGGCAGGATTAGGAAGGGGCCTGCACCTCCCAACCTTGAAGTTCCTTCATATGAGTTCACCAGTGTTGATATAGTCATTGTTGGTTAGAGACTTGGACTCAAGTCTTGGGCTTCTTTGTCACCTCAGAAGAGTTATTTGAGTGCAAGCCTTCTGCACTTCAAGTTGGTTGATGTGAATTATGTAAGAATTGATGATAATGTATTTGCAAACATTAATGTGAAGTAAGTTGAATTTAATGTTGAAGACCCAAGCATTCACTTAATAAAGCCATGGTTAAACATTATTAAGCTCACCCATACACTTGAAAAGTGCAATATCTTTTAGCTAATTTTAATTAAAATTAGCTAAGATAATTTTTTAGCTAATTTTAATTAAGAATTACAGACTGGTGTACAACCAAATATGGGAGAACAGTGAATATTTGGAGGCCACTCTCAGTCTCTGCTACTCCAGGGAGTGGATGCATTGAACCAGGAAAGGATATGAAGTGAGGAAGGTGAGCAGCAAGGATGGAACCTTGAAGACCATTCGAGCATTCCATCCTTTTGTAGCGACCTCTGGTAGGCTCTGCCCAGTTGCTCTTCCTCATCATGTTACATCTAGATGCTCCTTCCTTGTTTCTTTTCAGCCCCTGCTCTGTGCATCTGCCAATGCCTGGTTTCAGAACCCAAATTATGTCTACACTCTATCAAAGACATGACTGGAATAATAAAAATAAGTTTATTAAAACATCTACATATTTTTCTATATGTTACTTAAATTAAGTTTGTATGTTTGAATGAAATTTTTACCTTAAGTATAGGTATTCTGGAGTACTTTAGATTGCAATGTTCACAACTCACTTTGCTAACTTGACGTTCACAAATTTTGAAGATTCTCTCTGAAGCATGCTGTAAACCTCCACCCAACTTTTATGTTAATGAATCTTGTTAGGGTGTTGCTGTAAAAACACCAACAGTGGAAAAAACAATACCCTCACATTTGTTTTCTTAAAATCAAACCAACAATGCCCCTACATTTTCCTTCCCTTCCTTCCTTCCTTCCTTCCTTCCTTCCTTCCTTCCTTCCTCCCTCCCTCCTTCCCTTCCTTCCTTCCTTCCTTCCTTCCTTCCTTCCTTCCTTCCTTCCTTCCTTTCTTTCTTTCTTTCTTTCTTTCTTTCTTTCTTTCTTTCTTTCTTTCTTTCTTTCTTTCTTTCTTTCTTTCTTTCTTTCTTTCTTTCTTTCTTTCTTTCTTTCTTTCTTTCTTTCTTTCTTTCTTTAACGGAGTCTCGCTCTGTCACCCAGGCTGGAGTGCAGTGATGCGATCTCGGCTCACTGCAACCTCTGCCCCCCAGGTTGAAGCGATTCTCCTGCCTCAGCCTCCTGAGTAGCTGGGACTACAGGCATGTGCCACCAAGCCTGGCTAAGTTTTTGTATTTTTAGTAGAGGCAGGGTTTCACCGTGTTAGCCAGGATGGTCTCGATCTCCTGACCTCGTGATCTGCCCGCCTCGGCCTCCCAAAATACTGGAATTACAGGCGTGAGGCACCATACCCAGCCCAAAGCCCCTACATTTTAAAAGTTAAGTTCTCACTCATGACACAATTGTCAAATTATTTCATATTAAAAATTTATTTTATTTCATTTTTTAAATTTTTGAGTGGTTTTGTTTTGCAGAGAGTTAGTTTTCCTTTATTTGCTCTAGAATTACTAATCCAGAAAAGGTACCATGGAAAGGCTAATATGGAGAATCTTTTTATTAGTTTCACATTGCAATTTTTATTGCCACATCTGTTATAAATTGGCCATAGATGGTAACTGAGGTTTTTATAAAACTCCTATTTCACTGATCATATGCATTGGGCTTAGAAAAGACCTGTTATAACCTACTTCATATGTATAGTACATTTGTATCAAAGATCACCAACAGGAATTTCAAAATAAGCTGACTCCAAGGCAATCAATTAATATCCTTTAAACAGTGTACCACAGAATTTCCAGTAACCAGATTTATTATAGCATCATGTGCATTACAATGAAATCTCATAAGATAACTGTCAATTATATTTTCCTTCATTTCATTAGCAGAGAGGCCAGATATTTTTGTACAGCTGAGAATTCATGGCACTTAGTATACAATTGTATTGTAAATTGCTTTATTTTAAAAAGTGCCTGTTTGTGTCACGGCGTGATTGACATTTTGGCAGAACTGTGTAGAACTCTGAAAATAATGTTTGTTACTTAACTGATGGATTTACAGAAAAGGCTCAAAATGTAAAAAACAATTTTTTTGGTAGAAAAAAATGATAATTGCTTTTGGGACCATATGGCTTCATAGTTAGAGCTGGGTTGTGTGTCTTTCTGAGCTATCTCTCTATATTTGTATGAGTAAGTAAAAAATACATGTTTATGCTTTCATTCACTGCACAAATATTGTACGAATGCCTATTATGTAGGTATTCACCTAGTATGGTGAATACAATAGACCTGGTTCACGCCATCAGTGAACAAATAGTTCTATAGAGGAAACAGAAATAAACATGAAGATACCTTTATGTTATATATAAACATATACATAAAATAGATGTTTCAGACACCATTGTATGTCTCCAAAATGAAGTGGTGCTAAACTAAGAGTTTAAAAGTGGGTGGCAAAAACCATATAGAAAACGTTTAACTTCCTCCCTAAAAATAAAGGATATAAAAGGGTCCAGAAAGGGGAACATGTAGAGAGAGAGAATTTTTAGGGAGACCTGCATGGGTTCTGTGAGTTCTTCTTTCCCACCTCATCACAATAAGAGATATTAATTGAGTTCAGTTCCTCAACTTACTAAGAAAGGACTCGTTGAGATAATCCTGAGGATTGATGCATGTTCCTCAAAGTGAGAAGACCCAGGGGACAATCCAACTCCTACCTAAGATGTGTAACAGGCATGGGATCCACTGGCTGACTTCCATTGGAAAAGTTGAGGAAGAAGTGACTGCAGTGTTATATAGCCTGAATTAGCAGGTGCTGCTGAGACAAATGAATGTTTCCTGTGCATTAAATTTGGGACAAGTAAGAGAAAGAACATCAGCTTGAGATGATCTCAGATTCTAAGGTCAGATCATCTTTGAAGAAGGAAACAGACTTCACCAAACAGACCCAATCTGTCTAATTCCTTGAGTGCAGGAGCAGAGGCAGTAGTAACCGAGGATCATTGCATTGCCAGCCTCAAGGGAACTGCAGGTGAAAGTTCTCCCAGTGATGGGAGTCTCCAAGAACCCACAAAATGACCCCTGAGAGAGATACTTCTCACCACCCTCCTGACTTTCAGTGTAGGATGCCAACTCACAACAATTATCAGTTGAATGAAAACTTCTATTTCCCCTGGCCCATGTTCCATGAAGGAGTCAGAAGCCACTTCAAGACGGGGCAGAAAGAGTATAAATGGAAGGTTACTTAAACTTCTGCCCTTGAATTTCCTCATGTTTAAAGATAGAGTTAATAGTACCATATCACAGAGTTGTTGAGAGGATTACATGGGGTAAATAAGACCCTTAGAACAGTGATTGACACATAATAAATACTATGCAAGAGTTAGGTATCATTTGAAAAGAGGCAGCAGTAGCTGACACAGTGTCAAAGGAACAAAGGAAGAATGGTTTCAAGAAAACTCTCAACATCAAACGAAAAAATCAAACAGGGAAGGAAACCTAATACACAGGGCTTCATAAAGTTAGCATTTATTTATTTTACACAATGATTTCATCTCTCCACATCATGTTTCCTTCGGAAACTTTTACTGCGGATCAGGCTTGACATAAATATTGCCAGCTTGATTTGGCTTAAAAAAATGCCCCCTACCCCCCGCTGCCTTATTGTGAGCATTAATCTGTATGGAATAAGGTCAAACATTGCTAAAGAGAAACAGGTTGCCAATTATCTTTGTTAAATGATAGCATGGTAGCTACATTTCCTTAAATAAATCTCTAATGTTGATCACTGCTTTTGTTTATTGTTGTTAGCACCTTATTGATACCATCAGTAGAACAGACATTTTCAACCGCTCTTTTAGATAGATGACCCACCACCATCAATAGCTTCCTCATGGAGCAGTAGTTCCTGACATAGGGGTGGGGAACTGCACTCTATCTGTAGGGAGAAGAGGTGCATGTAGTTTGATAAACTGCACAGTGCTTCTGCTCTAGGTCCTCCCTTCCTTGTCAACTCATACATCAATACTCTTCCCATCCCACCTCCCTTTCCACACACACCTTGAGAACCTGATGGCAAGGGTCCAAGATGGTGTAACTAATGAATTAATTCATGCCTTTTTTGTTCAGAAAATCAAATTGATTACTAAATTCATTTTCTAAAAAAAAACTTATTGAGATATAATTTATGCATGATATAATTTACTCATGTAAACTGGACAATTCTATGGTTTTTAGTATAGTTAACAGATATGTGCAACCATCCCCACAGTCAATTTTAGAATGTTTT
This sequence comes from Homo sapiens, assembly GCF_000001405.40. Taxonomy (NCBI): domain Eukaryota; kingdom Metazoa; phylum Chordata; class Mammalia; order Primates; family Hominidae; genus Homo; species Homo sapiens. The sequence goes on along the minus strand of NC_000006.12, from coordinate 19,633,662 downwards.
CAGCATCGCAAAGAGAAACGCTCTACCCTTTAGCTATCACCCCATTGTCTCTTATCCCCCACTCTGAGACCCATAGTCCTAAATAACCACTAATAGATTTTCCTATTCTGGACATTTCCTATGAATTCATTATATAATTCATGTTGTGTGTGTGTGTGTGTGTGTGTGTGTGTGTGTGTCTGTGTCTGTGTCTGTGTATGTGACTGGCTTCTTTTCCTTAGCATAATGTTTTCAAGTTTCATCCATGTTGTAGCATCTATCAGTACTTCGTTTATTTTTATTGCCAAAAAATATTCCAGGGTATGGCTATGCCATATTTGTTTATTCATTTTTGTTCATCTATTGATGGACATTGGTGTTACTTCTGCAGTCTCTTTCTCCTTTTTGTGTCTTTGCATCTCAACTATGCAGTGCATCAAATCATATAATTATTCCGGATGAAGTTAATGGATATTAGTGGCTATCTATGTACCAAATTAACTCAAGAGAGTAGTATAGCTTAGAGAATTATAAACAATAATGTTGGTTATGTTACCATAACCAACAATACGTAGAGCTGATGAGTTTCAAATGCTAAAAAGTGAAGTAGAGCCAGCAAAACTGAAATGAGTTTTCAGTGCTAAGGACTGTCCACGTGTCTTGGAATACTAGAGTCAGTTCGCCTGTTCCTATCCCTGCTGCTAGCTGGCAGTGACACTTCATTTGCAGACTGAAGAACAGGTAAGGATTAAATCATCAAGAATTTCTAAAAATAAATTATATACTTATTTTTAACAATCATTTGCAACTTCAGCAAACATTTTTCTTAAGGTACATAGCAGCTTTAATCCACTGCCAAAATATTAGGGTGAATAGGCTTTTTTTTTTGTCTTGGCAGAGTGTACATAAACATACGATGCCTTGCTTAAATATTCATAGACTCCCAGCTCGCAGTACAGTAACTTAATAATAAAATATTTTGAAGAGGGAATGATGCTGTGGAGCTTGTGATACCACTAATGGATTTGAAGAGGATGCTAATGCATTGTAGGAGGAAGTGAATTGAGCTCTCGTGTGTAAAGGAGGATTATAAAATATAATTATGAAAAAGCAATAGTGGCAGGCTTGAGGAAGTTCTGTTGATGTGTGGGTACTACAAACGACATGTTTTGTTGATGAGAAAGAGGCTTAGATGGATATTTACTGTGCTAGCAATCTTCTATCCGGAAACATGAAATGCATTATAGAAATGGCCATTTTGTGAACTCCACAGTGAAAATTAAATAGTGTAAGATGGAGGCTGACAAGACCCATGCAGCTTTTCATTTCAAATAGCAGTTGTCTAGGAAGGCGAGGTTTTCACATCAAGAGTTTCATGAAGACACCGGAAGAAAAAAAAGTGATATGACTGTCAAAGTAGAGGGAAAACTTTTTTTGCAAAAAGCTTAAGGAATTCTAGAAGATTAAATAATTCATGGCATCCTGCAAGAAGCGGAGGAAACATGAAGACTTTTCTGAATATCATTTCCTGGGTACAGCTTTGAAAACTTCTTATAAATTATGGGCATCAGTGGGGGCAACTAGACTGGGGCATACAATTAAAATCTTGACTCTCCTTAGTTTCCATTCCTAATCTCATTGCTTTACCTAAGGCTCTGCCCCCTCAGGCAAAAGGAAGAAATGTTCTTAGAGTGTTACTCTAATATTTGCTGAAAGAATATACAATGCCCAATAATTAAATACAGATAAGAACATTGAAGAGACAGGTCATAAGTGATATAGCTTTAGTGTTAAACTATGGCCCCTTTTGTTCCTGGGAAATTATTATTATTATTATTATTTTTGAAACAGGTTCTTCCTCTTTCCCAGGCTGACCTTGAACTCCTGGCCTCAAGTAATCCTCCCACCTTGGCCTCTCAAAATGCTGAGACTACAGGTGTAAGCACCCACGCCTGGCTGGAAATTCTTAATGATATGAATTTAATTCTTAATGATATTAAAGCTCAGTGTTTTACTCCAACCTATATTTTTTTTCTCTTTTTGAGACAAAATCTTCCTCAGTTGCTCAGGCTGGTCTTGAACTCCTGCCTCAGGCTTCCGGGTAGGTGGGATTATAGGCACCCACCACTGTGCCGGGCTTACTTCAATCTTTAAACAAGAGTGATATACGAAATAGGAATAAAGTTTATTTTGCAGAAGCACATAAGAATGTTGCCCTTTTATGGAGCTATTTGGGAGGATAACTGAGTGCTGTAATAATTTTGACATTGTTTAAAACATGTATGAAATGCTGTGATTCTCTAAATAAATTGTTTAAAAGTTATAAAAAATTCAAACACACAGAAAATATATGCAACACCAAGTTTAAATAGTTGTTAACATTTGCTGTGTTTAGTTCAACTCTTTCTCTTCTCTTTTTCTCTCTCCGTCTTTCTCGCTTTCACAACACACACACACACACACACACACACACACACACAGATTTTAAACAAACAGCACTCTACGGCTATATCTACATTTTCACCCTCAGAGGAAGACACTTTTGAGAAATTGATGTGAACTTTTCCCAGGCATTTTTAAATGTTTTTGAAACTATAAATGCATGAAAACTTACAATATGATTTAAAAATGTATATTTTTGATGTTCCCCTGAAAGTGTCCTTTTGCAACTTATTTTTTTCACTCAACAATATGTTTTAAGGTTTGTGTAGATATATGTTCATCTATTTAAACTGCTATATAGTATTCCATTGTATTAATAAGCCACAGATTTTTTTCATGAATTTTTTCTCTGAAGGACTAAATATAAATATAAGTGTATTTTATAAATTAACAGCTATTCAGGGTTTTATAACATTTAAATTTATATCCTTTGCTCACTGGTTGACTGAAATTTTTGTTTCTTGTTTTTTTTTTTTAAAGATTTCTTCCTATGTCCTGGATGGTATTAGTTGTTTGTATTTGTATAATACAGAACATAGAATTCTACAAAACAGTACTACAAAATCTCCCAATCTGTGATCTTTTTTGTTTGTTTCCCCTTTGTTAAAGAATCTTTTTCACACTGAAATTTTTTAGTTGCAATGGTCAGATTTAGCATCTTTTTTTTTTTTTTTTATCTTATTGTGGTGTAGTGTTTATATAAAAATCCTCGTGTCTGGTGTGATGGCTCACACCTATAATCCTAGTACTTTGGGAGGCCGAGGCGGGTGGATTGCTTTGAGCTCAGGAGTTTGAGACCAGCCTGGGGAACATGGAAAAACCCTGTCTCTACAAAAAATACAAAAATTAGTCAGGCATGGTGGCGCATGCCTGTAGTCCCAGCTACTTGGGAGGCTAAGGCTGGAGAATCTCTTGCAGTGAGCCGAGATCATACCTCTGCACTCCAGCCTGAGTGACAGTGAGATCCTGGCAGAAACAAAAAACAAAACCTAAAAAAAAAATTCTCTTCGACCCAAATATTGTACATTATTCTTTATATTTCATTCCAAAATTGCAGAGTTAACTCTTCACATTTAGGTCTTAATCAATTTCTGTGTGTGTGTGTGTGTGTGCGTGTGTGCGTGCGTGTGTGTGCATGCATGTCTGCAATGCAAGGTAAGGATCTAGTTGCATCTCTTACCATACATCAGTAATTATTTTATCACCATTTAATTGAATAGCCCATCTTTCCCCAGTGATTTGTTAGGGCAGCTCTGTCATGTCCCGAGCTCATATACATACAATAGTCTGTTTCTAACTGGGCAAACGGAGTGAAATTGTTCAGCTGTATAGCAAGTGTGTTTTATTTTATAAGAAATATCAAACAGCTTTTTATGGTGACTGTACAATTTTGCATTCCCACAGGTACCCTGTGAGAGTTTCAGTTGCTCTATATTCTCGCCAGCACTTGTCATGGTCAGTTACTTATTTATGAATTTTTAATATTAGCCATTGTAAAAAGTGTGTAGCAGTTTCTCATTGTGCTTCAGGTGTTTGTCATCTGTAACTTTTTTGATAATGTGTCCATTCAGATTTTTGTCCATTCTTTTATTGGTTTCTTTATTGCTGAGTTTTGATAGTTTTTTATATATTCTGGATACAAGTCTTTTGTCAGACATGTGATTTGCAAATATTTTTTCTCAGTTGGTAGTTTGCCTTTCATTCTACTATGTTTTTCACAGAGCAAATAATTTTAATTATGAGGAAGTCCAAATGATCGTTTTTTTTTTTTGTCTTTTATTGGTTGTGCTGATGGTATTGTGGCTAAGAATTCTTTGCCTAGCCCAAGGTCAAAAGCTTTTTTTCTGATTTATTTAAAAAGTTTTAACAGTTTTACATTTTTTACTTTTATACCTATGATCTATTCTAATTTAATTACACTAATAGGTGTGAGTATAGGTTGATTAGCTTTTTGAATACAAGTGTCTAATCGTTCTTGTAACATTTGTTGAAAAGCCTATTCTTTCAACGAGTTGCCTTTGTATCTTTGTAAAAATCAGTTGGGCATATTTGTGTGGGTTTATTCTGATACTATAAGTTTAGTCTTGATAACCATACCTTTATAGTAGATTATAAAGTCACATAGCATGCATCCTCCAACTGTGGTCTTTTTCAAACATTTTCCTTTGGGATTTTGATTGGGTTCATATTAAATCTATACTTAAATTTGAGAAAAATTTTCATGTTAATAATATCAAATTATTAAATATGTGAACATGATATATCTCTTCATTTTATATAGATTTGTTTAATTTCTTTCATCAGTGTTTTGCAGTTTTTAGCATACAGATCCTGCACAGAGATATTAGAGTCTAAGGAACTGGACACTTGGGGAGCTGTCAGGGTACAGGTAGCAGCTGCGGGGGAACTCAGGTGGAATGAGGGGCATCAACAGTGCCTAATTTAATTTGTCTATGGCTAGGTTTAATTTTTTAAATCCAATCTGAGAATCCCTGTTTTTCAGCTGTTGGTTTGTGTCTATCTACATTTATTTGAGTTTGTGTTTCTACTTCCTACTTTTATGCTGTTATTTATTGCATTTTTCTTGGCTTTTTTCCTTCTCTACGGGTACCAATTAAATGTATTAAATTTTGTTTGTCTTCATTTTTTTCCCTTTTCTAATGGTTTTGAAGATAAAGATTTTGTTTGTATTTTTTTAATAGCTACCTTTAAAATTTGAGTAAGAAATCTTTAACTTAACCTAAAGTTAAGTATTGGTTATCTTTAACTTTTTCAAGACAAAAGAAGCTAAATTTTTAAATCTGCAAATCTCTCATGCCATATATGAGTAATTATGTGTAATATTTTAATTTACATTTTATCTTATATTTAGTTGGTGTTATTTTATGAAGTCCATACTTGCTCATTGATTGATTTGTTTAGTATTGTTTATTGCATCTACTCCTTCAATTTAGGCTCAATTATCTTTTTCATTAAATATTACTTAGCATTTCTTTTAGAGAACATTTGTAAGTGGTACATTTCCTTAGATTTTCTTTCTTTTTGCCAATTTTTTTCTCACGTTTAAGAAAGTATAGTTTAGTTAGACACAACTTCTTGTTTGACAATTATTTTCTGTAAATATTTTCAGCATATAATTCCATTGTCATGTAGCCTCTATTGTCTGTTATCTATTTAATTTTGTCCCTTTGCAGATAATTTACTCTGCCTTCTGGTGGCTTTTAAATTCATTTCTCTTTTCTAGTACTCTTTGGATTCAGGATAATGTGTCTAGGTGTGGATTTATTTTTATTTATGCTCATTTAGAGTCACTGGACATGCATCTTTAATCTGAGAATTTACATATTTCATCTTTTCTAAGAAATTTTGGCTATTGTGTCCTTGCAAATTATCTCCCTCTATCCTTTTCTTTTGGAACTGATCTTAGCCATGTATTGAAAGTCCTCATTTTTATCTGTTATGTCTCTTTATCACTGCTTTATATTTTCTAACTTTGTGATTTTCAGTGCCTTATTCTGTGCAATTTCCTTAGATCCATATTATAGTTCACAAATTCTCTCAGCTGTGTCTAATCTTTTCTTTAAGTTGTCCATTGAATTTTTAGCATAATGTTTTTAGCCTAATGTTTTCAAGTTTCATCCATGTTGTAGCATGTATCAGTACTTCGTTTATTTTTATTGCCAAAAAAAAATTCCAGGGTATGGCTATGCCATATTTGTTTATTCATTTTTGTTCATGTGTTGATGGATGTTTTTGTTACTTCTGCAGTCTCTTTCTCTTTTTAATTTCAATGATTATATTTTTTATTTGTGTAAGTTCTATATGGCTTTTTTTTTCCAGTTTTTTCCCCCCAATCTCTTATTTTAGCTTAAGCAACTTGACAACTGGCTTTTATGTTTTTAATTATTTTACTTATTCTTTATTCACTTTCTGATTTTTGTTTTATCATCTGAAGTTCTTACAATTCAAATCTTGCTTAGGCTTGTGCATGTTGGATTGATTTGTTTTGTGTTTGGCAATTTTTCATTGTGATCACATCTTTTAGGTAGGGCTTATTCTTTCTATGATAATCCTTTGGGTCTGAGCTTTGGACATTTCTAGGTGCTCCAGGACTATCAATGGTTCATGATCAAGTTCTGTATTACTTATCAGCTTGGAGTTTCCTAGACCATGTCGTAGTATCTGACCATGGAGAAAATATATGTGGATTGATACTTTATTTTCCTTTCTTTTTCAAGTCGGAGTCTCACTCTGTCACCCAGGCTAGAGTACAGTGGTGCCATATTGACTCTGCAACCTCCACCTCCCGGGTTCAAGCGATTCTCCTGCCTTAGCCTCCCAAGTAGCTGAGACTACAGGCATGCACCACCATGTCTGGCTAATTTTTTTGTTTTTCTAGTAGAGACAGGATTTCACCATGTTTGCCAGGCTGGTCTCGAACTCCTGACCTCAGCTGATCTGCCCGCCTCAGTCTCCCAAAGTGCTGGGATTATAGGGGTGAGCCACCATGCCCGGCCACAATTTTCAAGAGAGGTTTTTTGTTTGCTTGTTTTTCTTTTCTAGCAGAGCCCAGAAAAAGACCGGTAAGATTCTTTGGCCTTTCTTGTTCTCTTCCTGTACCTACTGTCAGATTTACCCCCTTGTCCTCTTTGCCTTATATGCTTTTCAAGGATCCCAGTTTTATGAGCTGGTTACAGGCGTGAGCCACTGTGCCCGGCCTTCTTTCTCAACTCCTTTTTTTACATAGAGGGTGGCCTTATGTTTGTTCATCACGTGGATACTAAAAACCAGGCCATAAGTGACCAAGATAGAATCTTCCCCTTTCCCCAAACAAGACAGCCACAGAGTATGCTCAAGTCCTACTATCTGATTTTTAAATTCCCTTTTCTTTCTGGCTTCTAGAGATTACCTTCTAATTCCTGAAAGCTCAGCTAAGCATTTAAAAGGAGTCTGGCTATCTTTTATTAACTGTTTCTAAAAGTTTGTATCAAGAGAGTCTTCAGACTTTGCCATGTTCCTAACGGGAAACTCTACAGTAATTCTTCTGAAATAGATTTCAGAACACCCTTCTGACCTGTAGTCTAAATAACTTTATTAGTGAATAGTCATATACTACATGCCCAAGGTTGCAGAGATTCAAATAATAGCCTTTAGGACAATGCCACTAAATTTACCTCCAGTCTAAGATTTGAAATTGAGCTTTATGAGAATGAAATGAATAGAACAATGCGTTTTTTCCAATGTACATTATGCAATGCTGTGGTTCTGTGGTTCTATGCACAGGTTCTGTCTTATAATGTGTTTTCCTTGGGGACTAATTGGTGTGACATGCATTTTAAGTTGATTTTCCAATGAAGCATTGGCTTGGACTCATCCAAACATTTTTGTCTTGTTTGTGGCAAATGGCTGGCCAGTGTTTAAGCAAGCAGAATATTAAAATGAAGAGCTTTTCTTTCCTTGTAAGGATAATTGCTTACTAATGAATCAAGTCCCCATCTTCGTTTTTTATTTGTACCAATTTATGGAGTAAATGTGATTTTATAATATGTATATAATGCATAGTAATCAAGTCAGGGTATTTAAGGTGTTCATCACCCATGTGCAATACATTTTTTTTTTTGAGACGGAGTCTTGCTCAGTCGCCCAGGCCGGAGTGTAGTGGCGCGATCTCGGCTCACTGCAAGCTCCGCCTCCCGGGTTCACGCCATTCTCCTGCCTCAGCCTTCCAAGTAGCTGGGACTACAGGTGCCCACCACAAAGCCTGGCTAATTTTTTTTTGTATTTTTAGTAGAGACGGGGTTTCACCATGTTAGCCAGGATGGTCTCCATCTCCAGACCTTGTGGTCCGCCCGCCTCGGCCTCCCAAAGTGCTGGGATTACAGGCATGAGCCACCGCGCCCGGTCGTAAATACATTTTTTTTAAGTATAGTCATCCTACTCTACTATTAAACATTGAATATATTCCTTCTATCTTACCGTATGGTTGTACCCTTTAACACATTTTTCTTCACCCTCCCTCCTATCTGCTCTCCCATTCATGATTCTCAGTCTTTGTTTTCTGCCTTTTCACTCTCTACCTCCATGCGATCAAACTTTTTAGCTCCCACATACAAATGAAAGTGTATGATATTTTTCATTTGTGCCTGCCTTACTTCATTTAAGACAACCTCCAGTTCCTTCTATGTTGCTACAAATGACATTATTTCATTCTTTTTTAATAGCTAAATAGTATTCCCTTATGTATATATACCACAATTTCTTTATCCATTCTTCCATTGACAGACACTTAGTTTGATTTTATATCTTTGCTATATTCTGAATAGTACTTCAGTAAATGTAAAAGTGCAGATATCCATTTGATATATTAGTTCTTTTCCCTTGGGTAGATACCCAGTACTGGGATTGCTGGATTGAATGGTAATTCTATTTTTATATTTTTGAGAAAACTCCATGCTATTTTTCATACTAGCTGTACCAGTTTACATTCCCACCAATACTGTATAAGAATTCTCTTTTCTGTGCATCTTCACCAACATCTGTTATTTTTTGTCTTTTTAACAATAGCCATTCTGAGTGGGTTAAGATGATACCTCATTGTGGTTTTGATCTGCAATTCTCTGATGATTAGTGACAGGGAACATTTTTTCATATACCTGTTGGCCATTTGTATGTCCTCTTTTAAGAAATGTCTATTTCCTCTGTCTACCTTTTTTATTTAATTTTTTAAAAATTTTATTTTATATATGTATATATTTTTATTATACTTTAAGTTCTGGGGTACATGTGCACAATGTGCAGGTTTGTTACATATGTATACATGTAGCATGTTGGTGTGCTGCACCCATTAACTCATCATTTACATTAGGTATGTCTCCTAATGCTATCCCTCCCTCCTCCCCCCACTCAACAGGCCCCAGTGCGTGATGTTCCCCTTCCTGTGTCCAAGTATTCTCATTGTTCAATTCCCACCTATGAGTGAGAACATGCGGTGTTTGGTTTTCTGTCCTTGCGATAGTTTGCTGAGAATGATGGTTTCCAGCTTCATCCATGTCCCTAAAAAGGACATGAACTCATCATTTTTTATGGCTGCATAGTATTTCATGGTGTATATGTGCCACATTTTCTTAACGCAGTCTGTCATTGTTGGACATTTGGGTTGGTTTCAAGTCTTTGCTATTGTGAGCATAGCAGCATAATTTATATTCCTTTGGGTATATACCCAGTAATGGGATGGCTGGGTCAAATTGTATTTCTAGCTCTAGATGCCTGAAGAATCGCCACACTGTCTTCCACGATGGTTGAACTAGTTTACAGTCCCACCAACAATGTAAAAGTGTTCCTATTTCTACACGTCCTCTCCAGCACCTGTTGTTTCCTGACTTTTTAATGATCGCCCTTCTAACTGGTGTGAGATGATATCTCATTGTGGTTTTGATTTGCATTTCTCTGATGGCCAGTGATGATGAGCATTTTTTCGTGTGTCTGTTGGCTGCATAAATGTCTTCTTTTGAGAAGTGTCTGTTCATATCCTTCACCCACTTTTTGATGGGGTTGTTTGTTTTTTTCTTGTAAATTTGTTTGAGTTCATTGTAGATTCTGGATATTAGCCCTTTGTCAGATGAGTAGATTGCAAAAATTTTCTCCCATTGTGTAGGTTGCCTGTTCACTCTGTTGGTAGTTTCTTTTGCTGTGCAGAAGCTCTTTAGTTTAATTAGATCCCATTTGTCAATTTTGGCTTTTGTTGCCATTGCTTTTGGTGTTTTAGACATGAAGTCCTTGCCCATGCCTATGTCCTGAATGGTATTGCCTAGGTTTTCTTCTAGGGTTTTTATGGTTTTAGGTCTAACATTTAAGTCTTTAATCCATCTTGAATTAATTTTTGTATAAGGTGTAAGGAAGGGATCCAGTTTCAGCTTTCTACATATGGCTAGCCAGTTTTCCCAGCACAATTTGTTAAATAGGGAATCCTTTCCCCATTGCTTGTTTTTGTCAGGTTTGTCAAAGATCAGATAGTTGTAGATATGTGACATTATTTCTGAGGGCTCTGTTCTGTTCCATTGGTCTATATCTCTGTTTTGGTAGCAGTACCATGCTGTTTTGGTTACTGTAGCCTTGTAGTACAGTTTGAAGTCAGGTAGTGTGATGCCTCCAGCTTTGTTCTTTTGGCTTAGGATTGACTTGGCAATGTGGGCTCTTTTTTGGTTCTATATGAACTTTAAAGTAGTTTTTTCCAATTCTTTGAAGAAAGTCATTGGTAGCTTGATGAGGATGGCATTGAATCTATAAATTACCTTGGGCAATATGGCCATTTTCACGATATTGATTCTTCCTATCCAAGAGCATGGAATGTTCTTCCATTTGTGTCCTCTTTTATTTCATTGAGCAGTGGTTTGTAGCTCTCCTTGAAGAGGTCCTTCACATCCCTTGTAAGTTGGTCTAGGTATTTTATTCTCTTTGAAGGAGTTGTGAATGGGAGTTCACTCATGATTTGGCTCTCTGTTTGTCTGTTATTGGCGTATAAGAATGCTTGTGATTTTTGCACATTGATTTTGTATCCTGAGACTTTGCTGAAGTTGCTTATCAGCTTAAGATGATTTTGGGCTGAGACGATGGGGTTTTCTAAATATACAATCATGTCATCTGCAAACAGGGAAAATTTCACTTCCTCTTTTCCTGATTGAATACCCTGTATTTCTTTCTCCTACCTGATTGCCCTGGCCAGAACTTCCAACACTATGTTGAATAGGAGTGGTGAGAGAGGGCACCCCTGTCTTGTGCCTGTTTTCAAAGGGAATGCTTGCAGTTTTTGCCCATTCAGTATGATATTGGCTGTGGTTTTATCATAAATAGCTCTTATTATTTTTAGATACATCCCATCAATACCTAATTTATTGAGAGTTTTTAGCATGAAGGCTGTTGAATTTTGTCAAAGGCCTTTTCTGCATCTATTGAGATAATCATGTGGTTTTTGTCTTTGGTTCTGTTTATATGCTGGATTATGTTTATTGATTTGCATATGTTGAACCAGCCTTGCATCCCAGGGATGAAGCCCACTTGATCATGGTGGATAAGCTTTTTGATGTGCTGCTGGATTTGGTTTGCCAGTATTTTATTGAGGATTTTTGCATCGATGTTCATCAGGGATATTGGTCTAAAATTCTCTTTTTTTATTGTGTCTCTGCCAGGCTTTGGTATCAGGATAATGCTGACCTCATAAAATGAGTTAGGGAGGATTCCCTCTTTTTCTATTGATTGGAATAGTTTCAGAAGGAATGGTACCAGTTCCTCCTTGTACCTCTGGTAGAATTCGGCTGTGAATCCATCTGATCCTGCACTTTTTTTGGTTGGTAAGCTATTAATTATTGCCTCAATTTCAGAGCCTGTTTTTGGTCTATTAAGAGATTCAACTTCTTCCTGGTTTAGTTTTGGGAGAGTGTATGTGTTGAGAAATTTATCCATTTCTTCTAGATTTTGTAGTTTATTTGCATAGAGGTGTTTGTAGTATTCTCTGATGGTAGTTTGTATTTCTGTGGGATCGGTGGTGATATACTTTTATCACTTTTTTATTGCATCTATTTGATTCTTCTCTCTTTTCTTCTTTATTAGTCTTTCTAGCAGTCTATCAATTTTTTTGATCATTTCAAAAAACCAACTCCTGGATTCAATGATTTTTTGAAGGGTTTTTTGTGTCTCTATCTCCTTCAATTCTGCTCTGTTCTTAGTTATTTCTTGCCTTCTGCAAGCTTTTGAATGTGTTTGCTTTCGCTTCTCTCATTCTTTTAATTGTGATGTTAGGATGTCAATATTTGATCTTTCCTGCTTTCTCTTGTGGGCATTTAGTGCTATAAATTTCCCTGTACACACTGCTTTAAATGTGTCCCAGAGATTCTGGTATGTTGTATCTTTGTTCTCGTTGGTTTCAAAGAACATCTTTATTTCTGCCTTGATTTGTTTATGTACCCAGTAGTCATTCAGGAGCAGGTTGTTCAGTCTTCATGTAGTTGAGCAGTTTTGAGTGAGTTTCTTAATCCTGAGTTCTAGTGTGATTGCCCTGTGGTCTGAGAAACTGTTTGTTGTAATTTCTGTTCTTTTGCATTTGCTGAGGTGTGCTTTACTTCCAACTATGTGGTCAATTTTGGAATAGGTGTGGTGTGGTGCTGAGAAGAATGTATATTCTGTTGATTTGGGGTGGAGAGTTCTGTAGATGTCTATTAGGTCTGTTTGGTGCAGAGCTGAATTCAATTCCTGGATATCCTTGTTAACTTTCTGTCTCGTGGATCTGTCTAATGTTGACAGTGGGTGTTAAAGTCTCCCATTATTATTGTTTGGGAGTCTAAGTTTCTTTGTAGGTCTCTAAGGACTTGCTTTATGAATGTGGGTGCTCCTGTATTGGGTGCATATATATTTAGGATAGTTAGCTCTTCTTGTTGAATTGATCCCTTTACCATTATGTAATGGCCTTCTTTGTCTCTTTTGATCTTTGCTGGTTTAAAGTCTGTTTTATCCGAGACTAGGATTGCAACCCCTGCCTTTTTTTGTTTTCCATTTGCTTGGTAGATCTTCCTCCATCTCTTTATTTTGAATCTGTGTGTGTCTCTGCACGTGAGATGGGTTTCCTGAATACAGCACACTGATGGGTCCTCTGTCTACTTGTTAATGACATTATTTGTTTGTTTCCTGTTGAGTTGAATTCCTTGAATATTCTTAATATTAGTATTCTGTTGGAAGAATCGTTTGCAAATATTTTGCCCATTCAATAAGTAAGTTGTCTTTTCACTCTGTTGATTATTTCTTTTGTTGTGCAGAAGCTTTTTAATTTAATTATGTACCATTTGCCAATTTTTGTTTTTGTTGCCTGTGCTTTTGAGGGCTCAGTCATAAATTCTTTGTTTAGCTCAATGTTCAGGATAGCTTTTTTTCTAGGTTTTATTCTAGTATTTTTATATTTTGGGTTTTTCATTTAAGTCTTTAATTCATTTTGATTAGAATTTCATATATCGTGAAAGATAGGGGCCCAGTTTGATTCTCTGCATGTGGCTATCCAATTTTCCCAGCAGCATTTGTTGAAGAGGGTGTCCTTTCCTCAAAGATCTTGACTTTGTTAAATATCACTTGGCTATAAATATGTGGCTTTATTTCTGGGTTTTCTATTTTTTTTCCATTGGTCTACATATATATATATATATTTTTATATACCAGCACCATACTATTTTGGTTACTGTAGCTTTGTAATATATTTTGAAGTCAGGTCATGTCATATCTCCAGCTTTGTTCTTTTTGCTCTGGATTGCTTTGGCTATTCAGGCTTTTTGTTCCATATAAATTTTAGGACTGTTTTCTCTAATTCTGTACAGAATAATGCTGGCAATTTAATAGGGACTGAACTGAATCTGTAGATTGCTTTGGGCAATATGATCATTTTAAATTCTCTCAATCCTTGAACATGGGGTGTTTTTCCATTTGTTTGTGTCATCTTCAATTTCTGTCATTAGTGTTTGGCAATTTTCCTAGTAAACATCTTTCACCTACTTGGTTAAAATTTATTTCTAAGTATTTTTTGTAGCTATTGTAAATGAGATTGCCTTCTTGGTTTCTTTCTTGGCTAGATTATTATTGGTTTATATAAACACTATTGAGATTTGTATGTTGATTTTGTATTTTGCATCTTAATTCGTTGATCAAATCTAAGAGGTTTTGGTCAAGTCTTTAGTTTTTTTTTCTTTACATATAGGATTATATCATCAGCAAAAAGGAACAGTTTGACTTCCGCTCCTGCAGTTTGGATTCTTTTTATTTCTTTCACCTGCCTGATTGCTCTGGCTAGGACTTTCAGTTCTATGCTGAGTGGGAGTAGTGAAAGTGGGCATTCTTGTCTTGTTCTAGTCCTTAGAGGAAAGGCTTTCAAGTTTTTCCCATTCAGTATGATGTTAGCTGTGGGTTTGTTGAATATGGTCTTTATTATTTTGAAGTGTGTTCCTTCTATGTCTAATTTATTGAGAGTTTTTATCATGAAAAAATATTGGATTATTATCAGATGCTTTTTCTACACCTATTGAGACGATCATATGGTTTTTGTCCTAAATTGTGTTTATGTGATATATCACATTTGTTGACTTGTGTATGCAAACCCTTCTTGCATCTTTGTTATAAGTCCCACTTGATTGAGGTATATTATTATTATTTTTTGATGTACTGTTGTATTTGGTTTGCTAGTATTTTATTGAGGGCTTTTGTGTCTACGTTAATCAGAAACATTGGCCTGCTGGGCAGGGTGGCTCACACCTGTAATCCCAGCACTTTGGGAGGCCAAGACGGGTGGATCACAACATCAGGAGTTCGAGACCAGCCTGACCAATATGGTGAAACCCCATCTCTACTAAAAGTACAAAAATTAGCTGGGTGTGGTGGAGCATGCCTGTAATCCCAGCTACTCAGGCGGCTGAGGCAGGAGAATCACTTGAACCCGGGAGGCATAGGTTGCAGTGAGCCAAGATCACGTCACTGCACTCCAGGCTAGGCGACAGAGCAAGACTCCATCTAAAAAAAAAAAAAAAAAAAAAAAGAAGGAAAGAAAAGAAAAAGAAACATTGGCCTGTAATTTTTTTTCTTGTTGTGTCCTTCTCTGGTTTTGGCATCAGGGTGATGCAGACCTCATAGAATTAGTTAGAGAAAATTCCTTCCTCTTTGATTTTTTGGAAGAGTTTCAGGAGGATTAGTGTTAGTTCTTCTTTGCATGATTGGTAGAATTTGGCTATTAATACATTCAGTTCTGGGCTTTTCTTTGTCAGGAGACTTTTTTATTACTGATTCAATCTTGCTACTCATTACTGGTCTGTTCAGGTTTTCTATTTCTTCCCGATTCAGTCTTGGGAGGTGGGATGTTTCTAGGAATCTATACGTTTTCTCTAGGTTTTCCATGTTGTCGGCATATAGTTGCTCTTAATAGTCTCTGTATTGTTTTATATTTCTGTGGTATTGGTTTCCATGTCTCCTTTTTCTGACTTTGTTTATTTGGGTCTTCTCTCTTCTTGGTTAGTGTAGCTAGTGGCTTAAAGGAATCAACTTTTTTTTTAATTGATCCTTTCTATTTTTAAGTCTCTATTTCATTTAATTCTACTCTGATTTTCATTATTTCTTTTCTTCTGCTAATTTTGGGTTTATTTTGTTTTTGCTTTTCTGTTTTCTTGAGATGTGTCATTAGATTGTTAATTTGTAGCACTTCTACATTTTGATCTAGGGGTTTATTGTTGCAAATTCCCCTCAGCACTGCTTTTGCTGTATTCCACAGGTTTTGGTATGCTGTTTTTCCATTTTCATTTATTTTAAGAAACTCTTTGATTTTCATTTTAGTTTCTTCATTGACTTCGTGGTCATTCATGAGCAAGTTGTTTAATTTCTATGTATTTGTATCGTTTCCAAAGTTCCTCTAGGTATTTATTTCCAGTTTTATTCCATTGTAGTCTGAAATGATACTTGATATGGTTTTGATTTTTAAAAATTTGTTTAGACTGTTTTGTGGCTGAACATGGTCTGTCCTAGAAAATGCTTCATATGTTCACTTGTTGAACAGAATGTTTTGTAAATGTCTGTCAGGTTCATTTAGTCTAAAATACAGTTTAAATCCAATTTTTTTTTGTTGCTTTTTTTATTTAGATGATTTGTCTAGTGCTGAGAGTGGGGTATTGAATTACCCTACTAGTTTTGTGAAGTACCTCACTAGCAATATTAGCTTTATGAATCTGGGTGCTCTAGTGTTGGGTGCATATATATTCAGAATTTTTATATATCCTTTTGCTGGATTAATCCCTTTATCATTATATAGTAACCTTCTTTGTCCTTTTTAAAAAAACTATTCTTGACTTAAAGTCTGTTTTATCTGATATAAGTATAGTGACTCCTCCTCATTTTTAGTTTCCATTTGTGTGAGTTTTTTTTTAATTCCTTTACGTTTAGGCTATATGTGTCTTTAATGGTAAAGTGAGTTTCTTGTAAACAGCATATAGTTAGATTGTATTTTTAAAATTCATTCAGACATTCTATATATTTTAAGTGGAGAATTTAATTAATTTATGTTCAAGGTTATTATTGATATTGAAGCTTCATTCCTGTCATATTGTTAATTGTTTTCCAGCTGTTTTATATATTGTTTTCCAGTTGTTTTATATATTCCTTGTTTCTTTTTCTCTTATTGTTTGTCATTGTGATCTGTTTGATTTCTGTAGTGATACCATTTGAGTCCTTTCTCTTCCTTTTTTGTGTGATCATTTTACCAGTGGGTTTTATATTTTGTGTGTTTTCATGATAGTAAATGTTGTTATTTTGCTTTCGGGTATAGGACTACCATGAATGTTTCTTGTAGGTCTGGTCTAGTGATAATGAATTTCTTCAGTATTTGCTTTACTGGGAAAGACAATTATGAATAATAATTTTGGTAAATATTGTGTTCTTGGCTGACAGGTTTTTTTTTTTTTCTCCCTTTGACTATATTATCACGTTCTCTTCTGGCCTGTAAGAATTCTTCTGAGAAATCTGCTGTTAGTCTGATGGGACTTCCTTTACAAGTGACTACAGGCTTTCTCTTGATGTTTTTAGGATTCACTCTGTATCTTTGATGTTAGAGCGTCTGACTATAATGTGCTGTGGAGAAAACCTTTTTTTCATTGTATCTGCCTGGGATCATTGAGCCTCTTTTATCTGAATGACTAAATCTTTTGCTCAACTTAGGAAGTTTTCATCTGTCATTTCTTTAAATTGGTTTTCTTATCTTTCCTCTGCTTTTTTTTTGTCCTTGGGGATACTGATAATTTGTATATTTGGTTATTTTATGTTGTCTCAAATGTCATGAAGCCTCTGCTCATTCTGTTTTATTATTTTTTCTTTATTTTTGTCTGAATGGGTTCTTTCTTTTATTTTTTCAACATTTATTTTAAATTCCAGGCTACATGTGCAGGATGTGTGGGTTTGTTACATAGGTAAACATGTGCCATGCTGGTTTGCTGCACAGACCAACCTGAATGGGTTATTTCAAAAGACCTGTCTTTAAGTTCTGAGATTCTTTCTTCTGCCTGATCTAGTCTATTGTTGAAGCTTTCAAATATATTATGTATTTCCTTCACTGAATTTTTCATTTCTAAAATTTCTATTTGGTTCTTTTAAAAATATCTATCTCTTTGGTAACTTTCTCATTTGTATCCTTAATTAAATTTTTTTTTAAATATTGTTTTTCAGAAGTCTCTTGTGTCTCATTGAGCTTCTTTAAAATCAATATTTTGAATATTTATCTGGCATTTTGAAGATTCTGTTGATTGAGATCTATTGCTGGAGAATTATTGTGTTTTTTTAAAGGTGTCATATTTCCTTGCCTTTTCATGTTTTCTGTGTCCTTATGTGGATATCTACCCATCTTGTGTAATAGTCACTTCTTCCTATTTTTTAATTTATTTTTGTAGGATAGAACTTTTCCTAAAGATATATCCATGGTGTTGGTTGAGTACAGCACTTTAGCTTTGATTCTGGGTGCAATCAGTAGTGTAATCTCTGTGTGATTTCTTTGGCTATAAACAGTGTTAGTGCTTTCTGTGATTTTCTCATCGGGGTTAGGGTGCAGTCATTTATGGAGGTTGTGGTGAAGTTGTGGGGGACTGGGAAGCCAGATGGGCCAATATTCAGGCCCTAGTGGTGGCAGTGGTGGGCTATGCATACCTGACTTTGAGCCCCAGGGCAGTTTACACTGGCACTTGCATTGGCAGTTAATGGTGGGCCAATTCTTGGGACTCCAGGTGGTTTGCTCAGGTACTGGTAGTGGCAGTGGTGGGCTGGGGGTGGTTGAGCAGGTTCTCAGGCCTCTGGATAGCTAGTGTGGTGTGTGTAATGGCAGTAGCAGTGGTGAGATGATACTTCAGGTAATGAATGGTGGTGGTGGTGGCTGTGGTTCACTTACCCCCATAGCCCCAGACGCTCTGCTCTCAGGCTCACCTGATCACTGTAGCAGTAGTGCTGTAGTGCCATGTTGCAGGGGGTGAGGGACCTGCCTCACTCATGAGCCAAGGCAAGAAGGCTACTCTGCCAGTGGTGTCACAGTTGCCACTTACCACCCCAGACAGGTAGTTCTCTAACTCATCTGCCCCAGCCTTTGACAGCAGCAGAAGTGGGTGTGTGGAGGAAGGGTAGGGGTCCTGTTTCCTACCTGAGTGCCCAAGCACAGAGGCCACCCCACCTGTGGGAGTGGATTTTACCCTTCGCTTACAAAGGCAAGCACAGAGTTTGTGCTGCTCCTGGGGGGTGGGGTCACTCCTCACAGTTTTAGACAGGCAGCTCTTGAACTCTGGAAAGCACATGCCTTGTTTTGCTTTGTCTGGAGGGCTGCCTTTTGGTGCACTTGTACCATCTCTTCTCCAGTGAGTAGCACTCCCTGTGGGCTAGAGAACTGAGGACCCTGTAGCACCTTTGGGACCAGCCAGCTCTGTGCTGCTGTAGCCCTCCTAGTAGACACTGGGAAATGTCAGTGAGAGCTCCCAGGGTATGGAGATATGAGGGCTGTTGTTCTTAGGGTAAGATGGAGTCCCGTGATGGCTGCGTTCCCCAAATGGCACCCTCTCCACAGCTGTCCAAGTATTGGGGTGGGGAGTAATTGGCCCAGTGCGAGTTTCCTGTCTGGTGCAATGACCTCGCAGGGTCTCCAAACTGCCACTCATACTTGTATCACTGTACATATGGGTAGAGGAGCTCTCCTGCAGTTCAGATGGCAGGAGTCCATGGCAGGGATGTGGGGCAACAAAGCTCTCTTGCTAACTCTTACCCAGCAATACTGAGCCACCTGAGGTGAGGCTCCTGGCCAACCTTGGTTGAGTGGTCACTTGCTTCCTTCCCCTTCAGTGCCTCAGATGTTTCCTGTGAGTTCTTTGTTGAGTTCTGGTGTTCTTTACTAGATATTCTATTTGGGGTACAACTGTCTATTCATAATTTTGGTTCTTCTTTCTGGAGAGGGTGGATGTCTGATGTCTCTAGTTAGCCATCTTGAATTAGAATCTAAGTCCCCATCTTCAATTTCATTTTACTGTACCACCTCTGTGTGTGTATATATGTGTCCATATATATATATATATATATATATATATATATATATATATATATATATATTTATTTATCTACCTCTGAGCTTTTTATTGGCCTCCTGGTCCCCAAAGGGTACTCTGCTTCTGCTGGCTTAATGTCTCCAAACTTTGGTGTCGTTGGTCTCAGACACCACTTTGCCATCCACTATCCGGCTGGTGGTGGTCTTTTGGATGGTTTGCATGGGGTTGCTGCTGTCCAGGGTATCACCAAGATTGAAGTCCTTGCCATCTTCCAGCAGGAGGCAGTAGGTGGCGATCTCAGCCTCCAGCTTGTTCTTGATGTTCAGCAGGGCCTTGTACTTCTGGGCTTGGAGAGCTGTCCCTCTGCCCGGGTCTGTGTTAGCTCTGACTCCAGGTGCAGCAGGATCCAGGATCCAGGTTGAGCTGCTCCATCTGCAGGGCATAACAGGCCTCCACCTCCCTCAGGCTGTTCTCCAAGCTGGCCTTCGGATTTCTCATCAAGTCCAGGTCGATCTCCAAGGACTGGACTGTACGTCTCAGCTCCATGAATGTCATCTCAGCAGCTCTAACCTTGGCGGACTGCATGGTGACCTCTGTGGTGCTCTCCTCAATCGGCTGAGACCAGTACTTGTCCAGCTCTTCTCGGTTCTTCCGAGCCAGCTCGTCATATCGGGTCGAGATGTCTGCTGTGATCTTGGCGAGGTCCTGAGATTTGGGGGCATCTACCTCCATGGTCAACCCAGAGCTGGCAATCTGGGCTTGTAGGCATTTTACTTCCTCTCCGTGGTTCTTCTTCATGAAGAACAGCTCCTCCTTGAGAGCTTCGATCTCTGTCTCCAGCTGCAGCCATTGATGACATTGGTGTCATCAATGACCTTGTGGAGCCCATAGATGTCGCTCTCCACAGACTGGCGCATGGCCAGCTCTGTCTCATACTTGACTCTAAAGTCATCAGCAGCAAGACGGGCATTGTCGATCTGCAGAAAGATGCGGACATTGTCCACAGTATTTGCGAAGATCTGAGCCCTCAGGTCCTCGATGGTCTTGAAGTAATGGCTCCAGTCTCTGACCTGGGGTCCCTTCTTCTCCAAGTGCTCCCGGATTTTGCTTTCGAGCTTCCGGTTCTCAGTCTCCAGACTCCTTACTCTGACCGCCAGGCTGTCATTCAGGCTTTGCGTGGTTTCCTTCTTGTTCTGGATGCCTCCCATTCCTCCCAGACCCCTGGCCATCCCCGCGCCAGGCCCCCGGAACTTATGCCGTCCCGGAGGCTGGTGGAGTGGGACACGGACATCCGGGAACCAGAGCCCCCTGGCGCCTGCATAGAGGCTAGCCGCGCTGCTAATTGGCAGAGCCTGTAGCTGGGCCCAGGGACCAGTAGTTGGTGGAGAAGGTGGAGCGAGTGGTGAAGTTCTTGCTCTCTGGGGTTGGGGGAGGGGTGGGTGGAGAGCGAGAGGACAGGACTCAGGCTTTGCCGACAACCCAGTGTATATATTTATTTATGTATGTTATGTAAATGTGTATAGCTATCCATTCATCTGTCTAATTTGTAGTTATCTATTGACTTTACCCATGTAATATAAGCAACAATTTATGAAACTAAACTATAAATACAGTTGGACAGTAAAGATAAACATCAAAAAGAAAAAAAGTAGATATATCAAAGATCATTTAGAGAAACAGCAGAAATTTGACAGGAATTCATGATTGGTTGGTTGCTATTGCTAAGATTATATTGGGCTCCATGTTTCACAAAGGACAAAGCACAATATAGTCTTGGCACAAAAACAATATAGGAAATCCAGGGGTTGGGTGGTATGTATTGAATAGTAATTGTGGAGGCCACAAGTTATTCTGGAAAGACAATTGCAATAAATTCTGGAAGGGATCTGTCATTTGGATCTTTATGGAATGGACACTGGGTAACGTGATAAATGATGTGCTCAGTTATTTTGTAAAAGATACACAGTTCTTCCATAAATGGAGGGTAGTGTGTATTGACTATAAAAGTTGAAGTTGTAACATGAAATTGTAACTCACAGAAAGCATTTTTCTAAAATCTGGGATACTACAGTTCATGATCAACTCTAGTTCATCACGTTTCTGATAAGCTTAATTCAGTGAGTTTCCTCCTGCTGCTTTGGCTCAAAGATGAGAGTTCCTATCACCTTTAGTATCAAAGTTAGTTCATGATTAAATTATGTGATCAGACTAAAGGGAGAATATTTTTCATTTTTTATTAAAAAGAAATTTGTAAGTTTTAGATACCAGACATTCAAATGTTGTAAATTACTTTGATGTCAATTTTAGCCTTACCTATGGAGGTAGGCTGTGAGAATAGTTATAAACAAAGCCATTACTATTTTTAAAATGGAGTTTAATCTCTTTACGTGCTTGAGCAAATACTCAGAGAAGATTCTAGCATTCTAGACACATAATATGAAAGGAAACTTATTTTTACCTAAAAAAAAAATGCAAGCACTGGTAGTACCAATTAGACCCATAGACCATCAAAGAGCCCTATAGGGCAACTGACTTTAGAAGAACACTGTACCTTTCTTTTGGTTTCATGGACATGAATTGGCTCATGAGAAACAATGTTGTTTAGCCATCAGCCCCACATGTGATTAAGTCGGATAAACCTAAATTCAAATCCCAGCTCCATCATTTATTATCTGTGGGATCTTAGGCAAATTACTCTTTTAATTATAAGTTTTCTTATTTATAAAGCATATGCAAGGGTGCTACGTAGTTCAGGATGCTATTGTGAGACTGACATGAGGCAATACACTTAGCACAATGCTAAGTATGTGGTAGGTACTTAATACTCTTATTTATAATTATTAAGTGAAAAGTATTCTTCCAGGTGTCTGAATGAATTGACCTATTTTAAAAAATATTCTCCAATTTGGAAATTTTCATACAATAATTTTATTTTATCATGGATAATGCCAAACTGTTATTTCTGGTAACAATTAGCCTCCAGGTACAGTTATTTCTTAATATTACCCTTAGCTGCTATTTATAAGTCCATTTCATCAGCATAATAAGGGATCTGATAATTTTATTGTTCTAAGGATCGGCCTGCTTTCAACCAATTCATGTAAGATTTTTATCAAATTACTTAAAATACAAAAAAGAGGAATAACACTATAGCCTTTATTCTACCGAATTTAGAAACTCTTTGGATGCCCCAAGGCAGATGATAGAGAGGTGGGAGCTCCGAGGGATCCTGGTAGACACTGGATGGGGCTTGTGGAGCGGTGTGAGGGTCCTGGGTGCATGCATGCAGAAGGGAGACCAGGGACCCTCAAGGGAAAGCTTTGATTGGTGAGAATTTTGCCAGGCACAACATGTCCTGTGGTCACAATGTTGAAGGACAGACAGAGATAGGTTGTAGGCCTGTGCTGCATCCACACAGATGACAGGTAAGCTGTGTTCTTGTCTCCAGCCTGTCACCTCAGTACTACAGAATTCCTTGTCCAGATGTATGTATTTGGTCCTAAGAGAGTGACCAAAACAAGGTAAAGGAGGGAAGGGAGATGAAAGGCATATCAATGAGAGATGTCTGCGATGTTGGCAGTGTGGACATTTTTACCTGGGTTCCTGCTAATGACTCTCATTTTAAGTCCTGATATTTCTCCCAGAGCTGCAAACAGCTGTCTGCACTGAAGTGCTTTGACACATTATTGTACTGTACACTGGGTTGCTCATTTAATCAGCCATGGTGCTGCTCTTCACATAGAACATGTCACATTTGACAGATTTATCAAAAGACTGTGGGCTCTATTTTCCACAGCCCTGTGGAACCCTTTCCCATTAGTGATAGCAGGAGTGATGTTTATGCATGAAGAGAGACTGTTCGATTGGGCAATTGTAGACAGGCGAAAGCACAGCTCCCACTTATCAAGTGGGGCTAATAGGGGATATTCATATGCACTGGAGAATCAATTCTCTGTACATGGACCTCTACTACAAAAATAATTGCTACTCACTGGTGGTAAAGACCTCAGCAATGTCAGAGCCTTAATGGTGAGATTAATGCTCTACCACTCCCCGGCTGGGCCATTTCTCTATAACCAGAAAAAAAAAAAAAAACATATTCCTGGCCGGAGAGCTTGGTGAGATGTATTTCAGGTGAAATCCAGAGCTGTGCTGATTTGCTATGCTATTGAGTAAACATTTTCTCTGTAGATAATTTTCTCTTTGTAGACTTTAATTAGGTTGAAGCAACCAATAAACAGCTTAGAGTCCAGTCCCAGATTCCGCTACCTAAATATACACGCTCTTTACGAGCTCAATATTTTCAGCTTTGAAATAACGCAGCTGCATTAGGTGGTTTCTAAGTACTTTGCTCATGTATGTGCTACACAGGTATCATGATATATTGAAAATAAGTTTGATCTTTGGTTTGTTTCTTCTTCCCTACCAGATTGTGATTGTATTTCTTAATTTATCTCAAGAGCCTAGCCCAGGATATATTTATCTCAAGAGCCTAGCCTTGGTATACATTATACACACACACACACACAACCCTCAATATACATAATGTTTTATATATTATGTATAGCATATAACTATATATAATTATTTCTATTTATTGAGAGGCTCAATAAACATTTTTACTGAAAATAAAATTTTGTGCTCCTATAACTATAAATCATTTGGACAATGATGCAATTCCTTAGAACAATATATTTATTGTTTCTCTTCCTTATATCAGCAAAATTTTCAAAAAATTAATGGAATTGAATTTATTACATTAGTATCATTGATATTATGTTACTTTATTATATTATGAAGTATTCAATAAAGAAAGGTTTGTTGGCAAAAACAGATGGAATTTGATACTTTTCTCCTTAACCAGGAAGGTTGGCTATATACTATAGGCAAGAGCAGTCAGAGAAGAATTCATAGATGAATGTGATTTGATAGATTAGGTAGAACTTAATTTGATCTGTGAAGGATAGTTATGCTTGGTGAATAGGCAGAGAAAAATGGGGAAGTCATTGTGGACTAAAAGAAAATAACAGCTACGCAGCATGAATAGTATAGAGTCTGTAGAAGTTGCAGCTGGGGAATTGAAGGAAATAAGGTTAAGTGTGGTGGCCAGATGATGAGGGTCTCACTTGAGACCCAGGAATAATTTAGACTTGTTGCAGCAACCACAAGGTAGCCATAGGAATCAATAGTGCTTTCTGAAAAGCAATGTCGTAGTGAAAGCTGGCTTAGAGACAAGGTACTTTAAAACATTCACCTGATTCAGAAAAACAGATGAAATCTGATACCTTTTTCTTTAACCAGGGAGGTTGACTTCCAACCACTGTAGAATAACTACATTCAAATTGATGCTCTAACTTCTATTAATGAGTAGTATGTTTAGAAAAATTACATACATTATGACACCACTTAATCATCTGATTGCATCATCTTTTACTTTTTTCCTGAGTTTTCTCTGGTTTTTCAAGTGTTTGGGTTTCAAGATGGTTAATTTTATGTGTTAGATTGGCCAGGCTATGGTGCTCAGATGTTTGACCAAACACCAATCTAGATGTTGCAATGAAGGTATTTTAGAAACGTGATTAACTTTTAAATTGGTAGAGTTCAAGTGAAGCAGAGCACTATCCACAATGTGAGTGGCCTTCATCTAACCAGTTGAAGGTCTTAAAGGAAATGAGGTTCCCCGAGGAGGAAGAAATTCTGCCTGGAGACTGCCTTTGGACTCAAGCTGCAACATCAGCTCTTCCCTGGTTCTCCAGCCTGCTGGACTACTCTGCAGATTTTAGATATATCAGTCTCACAATCATATGAGCTAAGTCCTAAAAATCAATCTCTCTCTCTCCACCCCACTCGTACACACACACACACCTTATTCAGTTTCTTGATGCAATATATATATATATTTTTGAGACAAAGTCTGTCTCTGTCACCCAGGCTGGAGTGCAATGGCACCACCTCGGCTCACTGCAACCTCCACCTCCTGGGTTCAAGCGATTCTCCTGCCTCAGCCTCCCGAGTAGCTGGGTTTCGATGCAATATTTTAAAAAGACAGTTGATGAACTTGGAAGTTGCTGTGTCATGTCATGTTTTTTCTGCCTTGGTCCCATTCACTATGTCTCAACCTTAAACTGCTTGATGAAAGACAGTGTGTATTTCTTCTACATCATTTCTGTTTTTCACTCCTGGAGTCTTAGAGAAAGAAATGTATATTTTGGGGGTCTCTAGTATGACATAGGTTAGAAATACCACTCTCATCCTTTCTCTTTCTTCTTCTTTTAGTTATTATTTTTTGAAAACAGTGTCTTGACTATTCCTGCTCTCTCTTGTTGCCTTCTCCCTCTCACCTCCCTCTAGAACTCACTTCATCCAGACACATGAAAGTAAAATGGATACTGTTTTGAAATATCGTTTTATTTATTCTTTTATTCTGGAGAAACATAGAAAGCTTAATTTCACTGAAATGAGAGTAAAGACACATTCCTAGAATCCGCCACAGAGTAATCTCCTACCTTTTGGAAATAGTGAAAATAGATAGTAAGTGTGCTAAAATAAGAGCTGTTAGGCGGTTTATGCCAGCATTTGTAAACACTAGGCAGCTAGTTCTTCTCTACTTAGGAGAACTATTTTTGCTTCAATCTTCCTGCTCTGCTTTTGACCATATAAACTCATGCCTTGGATTTTGCTTGGAGACGTGTCTTATTACAGATCAAGAGGAACTGCTGGAAAGTAGGATATACTTTGGGTTTTGGCTTGTCATCTAATTACGCTCTTTTTTTCCGGTGTATATTTTGCAATTTTGAAGTTAATGCATATTCACTGCAAAAAAAGACTCGAAAAATTAAACAGTGCCAGCCATAATTTAACAGCATATAAATAACAATTGTTATAGTGTGTTTTCTTTGTGTGTGTGTATGAGAGAGAGAAATTGTGAGAGAGGGAGAAAATAGATCTAAATTGCTCTTTAGATAAATGTAATCTCGGCCAAGCACGGTGGCTCGTGCCTGTAATCCCAGGACTTTGGGAGGCCGAGGCGGGTGGATCACCTGAGGTCAGGAGTTCGAGAACAGCCTGGCCAACATCGTCTCTACTAAAAATACAAAAATTAGCCCGTCATGGTAGCTCACGCCTGTAATCCCAGCTACTTGGGAGACTGAGGCACGAGAATTGCTTGAGCCTGGGAGGCAGTTTGCAGTGAGCTGAGATTGCGCCACTGCACCCCAGTCTGGGCAACAGAGCAAGACTCTGTCTCAAAAAAAAAAAAAAAAGAAAAAAATGTAATCTAATCTAATCCCTCCCTTCCTCCCCCTTTCCTTTCCTTTCCTTTCCTTTCTCTTTCTTTCTTTCTTTCTTTCTTTCTTTCTTTCTTTCTTTCTTTCTTTCTTTCTTTGTTTCTTTCTTTGTTTCTTTCTTCTTTCTTTCTCTCTTCCTTCCTTCTCTCTCTCTTTCTTTCTCCTTCCTTCCTTCCTTCCTTCCTTCCTCCCTTCCTCCATCTCTCTTTCTCCCCTCCCTCCCTCCCTCCCTCCCTCCCTTCATTCCTTCCTTCTTTTTCCCTCTCTGTTTTCTCTCTCTCTTTTTTTTTTTTTGACAGAGTCTTGCTCTATCACCCAGGCTGGAATGCAGGGGCATACCATGGCTCACTGCAGCCTCAGTCTCCCGAGCTCAAGGGATCCTCCCACCTCAGCCTCCCGAGTAGCTGGGACCTCAGGTGAAAGTCACCATACCATGCCTGGCTAATTTTTTAATTTTTTGTAGAGACAGGGTCTCATTATGTTGCCTAGGCTGGTCTCTACTGGGCTCAAGTGATTCTCCTGTTTTGGCCTCTCAAAGTGCTAGGATTATAGGTGTGAACCACTGCTTCTGGCCTTTCACATTTCTTAACATTGGGTACAATCAAATTTCATCTGACTGCATTCTTGTTTATTATGTTGCAGTTTACTCTTAGTTATTTTTAGTGCCTTCCTCCTCCTTTTTTAGGCTAGAACAGATTGACAGCATTTCTACAATCCAAGAAGTTAGGGTGGGCCTCTGTTCTTCAGTTTATCTAGTGAACTGGAGACTGCACCTCCCAGTTCCCTTGCCCCATTCCACAGGGGGACCTGTTGTGGTTCCCAAATCAACTGAGCTTAGTATTCTGCCTTCAGAGGCCCTCCCGTGCACCTCCGTGTGGAGGTCCTGACACCTCCAGCTTGCCTTTCAAGCACTTCTATGGTTTGGTTTGCCCCACCAAGACTCATGTTGAAATTCAATCCCCAGTGTGCTGGTGTTGGGAGGTGGGGACTAAATTCGATCTCCATTGTGGTGGTGTTGGGAGGTGGGGACTAGTGGCAGGTGTTTGGATCACAGGGGATGGGATGGATTCCTCATGAATGGCTTAGCATTATTCTCTTGACAATGCGTTCTTACTCTGTGAAACTAGATTAGTTCTCCTGGGAATAGATTAGCTCCTGAGACAGTGCATTGTTATAAAGCCAGGATGCCCTTCGGGTTTACCTCTTTGAACGTGTTTGCTTCTCTTTGACTGTCTCTGCCATGTTGTGACTCAGCAGGAGAACCCTCACCAGAAGCCAAGACCATGCCCTTGAACTTCCCAATCTATAGAACCATAAGCAAAATAACCCCTTTTCTTTATAAATTTCCCAGATTTAGGTATTCTTTTCTGGCAACACAAAACAGACTAAGACAAGAACACTTAAACTTGTCATCTAGGCTCTCTCA